>NC_000012.12:71248006-71399521 GCF_000001405.40 Homo sapiens | reverse complement strand
ATTTTGCTGCACAGCTGTGAAGGGAGTGGGGGCATGTTGAGAGTTGATGCCAGAGAACTCAGCAAACCCAGCTCATAAAGCGTTTTGGATGGCATTTTGGGATTTTGGACTTTCTCCTGAGATCAGAGGGAGGGTAATGAAGAGTTTAAGCAGGAGAGTGACGTAATTAGATTTGTTTTTTGTGACTTTCACTCTCTTTGAGATTAAATGTACTAAAACAGAGACCCTTCCCTGACCCCATCTTTGAGCAAACCCATGAACCCTCTTTGGTTTGTGGACTGTCATCAAGTGAGCTCACAGGTATTTTACTCCAGCTGCACTGATTTCTGTGATAGCATTTTCTTGCACTGAATTGTTTCCTTATCTGAGATAAGTGACATGGTTCAGAGGATAGTAAAATAGCATATCTACTCACAGACATGGCTAGGCCAAATGAATACTTTTTTTCTTCAGTTGCTTTATTGTTTGTTTGTGGATTATATACTTACTATATTAAATGCAGCTAAAATTTAATTTTAGAATGACTTTCAATTGCTTTCTTATGAATTGAAACCATTTACTGAGAGTTGACATGTACTTAGGCAAAGCAAGCCATTTTCTAATCACAGTAAAGTAAAACAATAGTAAAGAACATTTGCTTTGGGAGGCCGAGGCGGGCGGATCACGAGGTCAAGAGATTGAGACCATCCTGGCTAACACGGTGAAACCCCGTCACTACTAAAAATACCGAAAAATTAGCCAGGCGTGGTGGCGGGCGCCTGTAGTCCCAGCTACTCGGGAGGCTGAGGCAGGAGAATGGCGTGAACCCGGGAGGCAGAGCTTGCAGTGAGCCGAGATCGCACAGCTGCCCTCCAGCCTGGGTGAAAGAGCGAGACTCCGTCTCTAAAAAAAAAAAAAAATAACATTTGTAGATATTCTGCCTTTTCTTGTTTCCAGTCTGGAAGCTTGCTACTCGAGCAAAACATTCAATAAAATCCAATTGGGTGTGTGATATATATATATATATATTTTTTTTTCTGGGGGGATTATCTGTGCTTCTAGTCACTTTGAATAGAAAATTGATTTTATTTTATGATTACAATCTTATATTCCCAGAAGATTCCAAGAATATTATTTTTTTAAAATAAATTGGAGAATAATGTATTTCTAGATCATATTGATTACCAATTACTATTTTATAAAATATTTATGAAAATGTCAACTCATACATAGTTAGGTATAACAAAAATAAGTCACATTGGACAAAAATATTTCTGCTTTGGATTTCTGGTGAAGCAGGCATTAAACATGTTGAAATTCATTGAGAACTTGATATGTTCTATATTTATGGTAAAATTATAAAGTTGTTAACAAAACCACAAATACTAATCTATGCATAGTATCCAAACGGTAGATAATTATAGTTTAACATTAAGAGAAATTAACTGTCAGAGGACTATGATAAAACTTTTACTGGAAAATTTTAGAATTTCTTAGGAAAGAAAAATATGTATAATGGAAATCAAATATATTTTTTTTGAGTTGTTCACAAAGTGACTTAGCACTTTTGGAGCATTTAATGTTTTATTAACGCTGTTAAATCCCATCTGGTGTTTGTAAAGTCTTTTACTATCCCCTGCTGGGACAGGCAGACATTGGTTTGCATGACTGTGTGTTCCCAAAATATTTTTTAAAAGTATCTAGTGGATTTATACCAACTGTAGCAGGATGATAGAAGGCCACATTTCCATTATAATACCTTTAAAAATGGAGACAAATGTCATCAAGTCACAAAAGATCCATTAGTTTTATACTGTGTGACATTTGAGGGGAAATGTGAATGATTAGTGGTTTTAAAAAGTTGTTTGGAATTCAACATCCTGTGTCAATATTACTTGAAAAATATTTATAGGTTCTGAGTCAGTGAGATGCAATTTACTCTTCATGGAATTCATTCTAGAATGTGTGGAATACTGCCTTGAACCTTAGTCATTCCAATAAATTCCCTGGAATTATCTTTATTGTCAATAAACAGGTTGTTTTGTCTCCTTGAGTGATTTTTATTGTATTGTGAGAGACTTATATCTCTGAAAATCAACAAAATCTTTGCATAGAGAAAAAAATAACTTAATTCAGCAAGAATTTATTGACTAAATTCTATGCTCAATGCCTTCTATGTCTGATGGGCATTGGGAAAAATGAAAAAGAGTTGACATGATCTTTATCTTCAAAGAACTTATAGTCTAGCTGGAGAGGTAGATTTAAAAACCCAAGGTAATCTAAGTTTCAAAAATAAAATATAATAAAGATTTTATACTAATATTGAGAAAGGAGTGATTAAACTTGATTGGGGTATGAAGAAAAGTGCCATAGTGAAAGTAAAACAGGCCTTGAAGGATAAAGATAATTATAATTTAAAGGAGATAGAGTTCAGTGTATGTAAAGTGAATAGAGATCAGTATATGTAAAGTGAATAGAGATCAGTATATGTAAAGTGAATAGTAAATTTTACAATGTATAATATTCTAAGATAAAGTCATGGAGAAGTCAAAATATAGTAGAAAAAATTTGTGGATGGATACCTGAATTTTAACCTTGATCTGGGAATTAACAGTGTATACTTAGGCATTTATCAATTACTTATAATGTCCCAGACACTGTTTTAAGTGCTGGAATCACAGTGCTATATGTGACAGGCAAGGTATCTTATAGCATGCATTTTTGTGGGAGGAGACGGAAAGAAAGAAATAAAAAAACTTTTTTTCTCTTAAAAAAGAGAAATTAGCAGACAGCAGTTAGTACTATGGAGAAATAAAACTGGGTGATACTACAGGGTGTGATGATGGGGGGCTGCTTTAGGTTGTCAAGAGAAAAGATCCATCTAAGGAGGTGACATAGCAGCTGAGAACTGAATGACCACAAACTTCTTTGTGAAGATCTGTGTGAAGATAGTTCCAGAGCAGGAGCCTTAAAGTAGGAACAAGCTTAGTGTGTTCCAGGAACAGAAATAAGTTCTGATTATTGGAGAGAGGAAAGATAAGAGCATGAAGTTAGGGTTCTTAGCAGATCATCCAGAGTTTCGTATGCAGGGTAAAATAGTTTGAATTATATTGTAAGTATGGTGGGGAATCATGGAAGTGTTTAAGTCAGTTTGTTTTATGGTTTATGTTTTACAAAAATCATTCTGGCTGCTGGGCTTAGAGAATGGAGTGGGCAAGTATAAAAGCAGAGAGATGAATTAGGAGGCTATTGCAGTAGCCCAGGTAATAATGATAGTTATTTGAACTGGTAGGAGCAGTGAAGATGAAGACGTGTCTAAGTGTTAAGGATGACACTTAGATTTATAGCTTGAGCATTTGAAAGGCTGGTGGTGACATTAACTGATTGGAGAAGACTGGGAGATTAGGAGGTTAGGAGGGCAGGCCTCTTGAGATCACTAAATCTGTTTTCTAGTTGCAAAATGGCAGTGATGATACCTATTTTACAGGATCAATGTTGTAAGAATTAAAACAAATGAAGTCACTGGCTTCATAAAGTGTCTGGCACACAGTAAGGGCTCAGTAATTGTCAGTTACCTTTTCTGTATAAAATAACAATTCTCGATAGTTTCCAAAAAGATGGGAATATAGGACCCATTTTTCTTGACTCCAGACTTCAAAATGTAGTATTTAAAAGAACTACCATTTCATATGTTTTATACAGGACTGGCTATTTTATGCCTTGTATTGGATGTGCTTGCAGCCAGGAAATGTTCTGTTGAGGCAATGACTCCTGGAAGAAAACATGAACGGAGTCATGAGTGTGGCAGGTGATATCCTACATTATGGAACCCAGTGGGGCAGAATGTGAGTTGTTTTCTGTAGACCTGCAAGGATATTCCCTTCTAAAGACATGCTTGTGATGGTTGAATTAGACTGTATTGTGATGCCCAAAGGCCCTAATTCAACCTTAAATTACAGTAAGACACTCATGTCACCTTATTAGATGGTTCTGAGGCTTGGGCCTGCAACAGAATCATTTCTTCAGTATTTTCTGTGTGCCATTTTTTTTTTCTTTTTTGAGACGGAATCTTGCTCTGTCCCCCAGGCTGGAGTGCAGTGGCGTGATCTCGGCTCACTGCAAGCTCTGCCTCCCGGGTTCATGCCATTCTCCTGCCTCAGCCTCCTGAGTAGCTGGGACTACAGGTGCCTGCCACCATGCCAGGCTAATTTTTTGTATTTCTAGTAGAGATGGGGTTTCACCGTGTTAGCCAGGATGGTCTCGATCTTCTGACCTCATGATCCACCCGCCTCGGCCTCCCAAAGTGCTGGGATTACAGGCGTGAGCCACCACGCCCGGCCCTGTGTGCCATATTTAACAGAAGATAGTAAGACAAGCTGATCACAGCTGACATCCTGGATACTCACCATCTTCTTGCTTCACAGCCAAACTAACTGAAAGCAAGTAGTTTTACTTAGGACCACAAATTGCCTCCACCTTTCAATCCCATAAAGCAATTTTAAATGTGGTGACAGCAAGCTGTGAGAGCTGAAGAAATTTTATAGAGGCTTGCTATAGAATTTCAGGCATTGTAGCCTGGTTATAAATAGCTGAGAGACAGTTTCTACCATTAGATCACTTTAACATCCAGCAATTGATCTGTATCTTTCAGTACTTGAAGTGAAAGAGGGAGAACCACAAATTGTGATGCGGCATCTAAGAATAGTTAATTAGTGCATGGATTATGTTTTCAAACTGGAAAACAGTGGGCAATGCTCAGAAGTTAAGAGGTGAAATATGGAGGCATTAATTCATTTCTCTGACTATAACTTATGAGTACTTAATGTGTGCTCTGCACTGTTTTAGGAGCTGGGGAAACATCAGTAAACAAAACAAGTTTGTGCCACCACAAAGCTTATCTTCTAGTGCAAGATACAAATAATAAAAAGTTAACAAATGTGTAATATAATGTAAGGTAATAATAAATGCTTTAAGAAAAAATATGCAGGATGAAGGGATAGAATGATAGGTGTTCTAATGTAGATGAAATAGAGACTGCTTCTTTGACAGGTGACAGACAGTTGAGCAGAGACCTGACTGAAGCGATAGAGCCACTTATTGGAATACTGGGAGGAGAAATCTGTTCAGCAGAGGAAACTGCATAGACAAAAACCCCTAAATTGGGAAAAAGCATGGCTTTTTCAAGTAGCAGCAAGGAGGGCAGTGTAGAGTGGGATGAACAGGACATGCAGTTGGAAAGTAGAGCCAAGGATCATATTAAGATGGGCTTGTAAACTAAGGTAACAGGTTTGGATTTTATTTTGAATGTGATAAAAAGCCACTGGAGGCTTTAAACACAGAAATAATTAAATGTAGCATTTTTTGGGCTATAACAGACGAGTGGAAGCAAAGTATTTGTTATGAGGCAGTTGTAGTAGTTAGCAAAGTGAAGGTTTATGAAGAAAAGGATCAAAGTAGTAGCTGTGTAGTTGGTGAGAAGTGATGGGATTTGGAATGTATTTTGAAGGTAAATTCAGAATTTGCTAATGGTTTGGGTATGGAATATGAAAGACATCTAAAGAGACTACAGGTTTTGGGTCTAAGCCATTGGGCCAATAGTGATGCCATTAAATTACATATCTACAGATTTAAGAAGAGATGGCAGGAGGTAAACTGGAGGGAAGGCAGAATGACAGCCAAATAACTCTTATCAGGGCTGGACTGAAAGCAGGAAGTGGGTGAAGGTAGTCTGATGGGTTGGCTATGGAGTAAGTACATTAACCCGGTTTCATCATTTGCCTACATTTTTTCACATATCAATGTCTAATTACTGATGTTTCAGTAAGATGTGAACTCGCCGATGTTTTGCTTTCACAGTGGTTCTTCCAGTATCTTTTCATTATAATCTTAGCGGTTGTGTTAATCCATTAACTGCCTACAAAAAGTGGTTAATTGTTGCCATGTCTGGAAACTATGTTGAAGAAGCAGTTGGTTTCTTGGTTCCCTCTGCACTGGAGTGTGATCTGTGGTGACTTTTATGGATTGGGAAGAAAAGTGAAATAAATCATATGATAAATGAGCATTGGACTGGGAGTTAGGCCTACTGAGTTTCAGACAATCCCAACTCTATTAACTGTGTGACCTGGGATAGGACATCGAAACTCTAAGGGCCTTGGTTTTCTCATCTACCTAGTTAGTGGCTTAGATAATCTATATAATAGAATAATCCTTAGTACACTAAACTCTAGCCTGTAGTAAGACTGCACATTCTAATCTAAAATATTTATTTATAATAGTCAGTGTATTTGTAGGATGGCAATGGCTGAAAATAATAGTAGAAAACACACATGGAAAGCAGCTTTAAAAGTGAGGATAATTTATTATAACATAAAAAAAGATTCTGAGTTAAGGTGGCTCCAGATTTGATTAATATTTATTACCTTATAGGATTATTATGAAGCTTATCCTATGAGGTAATAAAGTTATCTCCACTTTACAGATGTGTTAACTGACAAGCAAAAAGTTTAATTCATTTTTTCGGTCACGAAGCGAGTAAGAAGTACAGCAAGGTTTTATTTACATAGGCTGCCTAACTCCTAATCACGCTTTTAATTGCTAGGCTCTACCGCCTTTTTTGGCCACTAAATCAGGACACTTTTAATGACCTTGTTTTCTTTGTCTCCTGATATCAAGATAAGTGGGAAACCATTTATATACTTGAAAAATAATAATCACCAGATTAACTACCCAGTACCGGTGAGAGCTGATTCATGGTCTTACAAGAGAAAGGTTGCTATTTTTAACATGCAGTGATAGCCTTTGACCACTAGAGGACACTTTGTAGACAACATCTTTTAGGACACAGCGACTGCCTTCACTAGCCTTAGCTCTTCAGTCAGTACCATGTTTTATGCCTCAGAAAAGAGGGTCCTCTGGCTACTGCTGAAAGTCTGCGTCATAAGCTCCTCGTGGCCATTTGGGGGTTCTAGCTTTGTCTCAGAGTGGCTCCCACGTTGGAGCTATCTTCCAAATTCTGTAAGTAATATAGGCTAGGTATTATACTTTCTACTTATGCTAAATGTACTCAGCTCTCCATTGGCACATCTGTTTCAGGTAAACACCTATGTTTAAATTAAATTTAATTAAATTATTATTTTTATGCAATATTCCTATGATCCTGCTCTTGAGTTATCATAATCATTTAACTATTAGAAAAAAATTCTAGGATTGGCTAATGTTTTTTGTAAGTCTAGGCTTGTCCATGTTGATATCACCTGATAAACATTTTTTTGGGTGAGGGTACAGGGTCTTGCTCTGTCATCCAGACTGGAGTGCAGTGGCATGATCACAGCTCACTGCAGCCTTGACCTCTCTGGCTCAGGTCATCCTCCCACCTCAGCTCCCTAAGTAGCTGGGACTACAGGTGCATGCCACCATGCCCGGCTAATTAAAAAAAAAATATTTTTTGTAGAGACAGGGTCTCACTATGTTTCTCACTATGGGTCAAACTCCTGGGCTTATGCAATCCTCCCGCCTTGGCCTCCCAAAGTGCTGAGATTATAGGCATGAGCCACCGTGCCTGGCCAAGTCGGTACACTTTCTAAAAGCAGATCTTTCTCTCTCTCTCTCTCTTTTTTTTCAATGAAGTCTCCAACATATATGGGTACTTACAATGCCACCCAGTGATGAAGTTGATTAATATTTGTAGTTGTAATTAAACTAGACAAATCAGAAACACAAAGTTTTTTCCAAATAATAGACTTAAGTCCATTTCTAGGTTCACAAATATACTTGTCATATTAATAGGGTAGTAGTGAAAGACAGAGTGACCATAAAACTCTTGGTGGTGCCTTCCAGTTCATCGAGATGTGTGGTTCCCTGAGGGTTTCAGGTATTTATACTAGTACTAACCTTAGTTTTTAAAATAATTTATCTAATTTTAAGCTCCTATTGTTAAACATTTTTGAAATCATAGTTTCGTATATAGAGTTCTTGAAGAATGGTATCTATGAAATAATTGAGATAACTTGTGATAATAATACCACAGTTTTTAATATATTTATAATTTATAACATCTACAGAAACCTATTGCAGTAGTTTTTACTATTTATTTATTTATTTTAAATCTTGAGACAGAGTCTCACTCTGTCACCCAGGCTGGAGTGCAGTGGCATGATTTTGGCTCATAGCAACCTCTGCCTCCCGGGCTCAAGCGATCCTCCCACCTCAGTCTCCTGAGTAGCTGAGACTACAGGCTCATGGCACCATGCCCCATTAATTTTTGTAGAGACAGGTTCTCACTATGTTGCCCAGGCTGGTCTCGAACTCCTGTGCTCAAGTGATCCACCTGCTTTGGCCTCCCAAAGTGCTGGGATCACAGGTGTGAGCAACTACACCTGGCCTGCAGTAGATCCCTTTTTCATTTAAATTCAGGCATTAAATGGGATATTATTATAACTTAATTCTTAAGTCTCTCTTTTTTTTTTTAAGAGAAGCCCAAACCTTCGATTATACCTATTTATGACCTCTTATTAATGACTTTGCAAGTCACCTTGTGTCTTCCTTCCACCAGATTCTTTCCTTAATGATTGTTGGTTTAAAGTAAACATGAGCATTTGGGGAAGCTTCCTGTTGTAAATCCTTCACTTTTGCAGTTGTTCAGTAGGACAGTAGGCTTGCTATTGGTGGAAGAGCACACCTAGGCACAATGTAGGGTAATGTAATGTCGCCCACAGTGAGGCACAGGAGCATAAAGGGATGGAAAATGATTCTTCAGTCTGTTTGACAGGCTTTTAGGCTTTAAAAAGCATTAAATCAGACAGTGGGTAAATCATTCTTTTGAATATATATAAAGAAGTTTGCTGCACATTTTAGAGTCAAACCATTATAGAAGTGAGGGCATGAAACGGCAAGTATAGTGATTTTCTGCTTTGTTCACAGAGGTATACTGCTTGCATCCACCCAAAAGAAGAAATGAATTTATCATTCCATGCAATAAACTGCAAACTCTTTATAGAGTGGAATTAATTATAAAGTGACTTAATTAAAATGCCACATTGATATGGTTTGGCTGTGTCTCCACCCAAATCTCATCTTGAATTGTAACTTCCACAATTCCCACGTGTCATGGGAGGAACCTGGTGGGAGGTGATTGAATTATAGGGGTGGGTCTTTCCTGTGCTGTTCTCATGATAGTGAATGAGTCTCACAAGATTGGATGGTTTTAAATATGGGAGTTTCCCTGCACAAGCTCTCTCTTAGCCTGCCACCATCCATGTAAGACATGACTTGCTTCTCCTTGCCTTTCACCATGATTGTGTGGCCTCCCCAGCCATGTGGAACTGTAAGTCCATTAAACCTCTTTCTTTTGTAAATTGCCCAGTCTCTGGTATGTCTTTATCAGCAGCATGAGAACAGACGAATACAGCCATTAAGTAGGGTGTTAAGACCATCCGATGGGAAAAGGTCAGTTTTATTAACAAAAGTGTTGAAAAAATTGGGTATCTACATGAAAAATAATAAACATGGACTTTTACCTTACACTATATATATAAAAATTAACTCGAAATGGATCAGAGACTAAACATAACAGCTAAAACTATGAAATTCTTAGAAAAAAAATAGAGAAATATTTATGATATTGGGTTTGGCAATTATTTATTGGATATGACACTAAAGTCACAGGCAATAAAAGAAAAAATTAGTTGGATTTTATTAAAATAAGAAACTTTTGAGCATCAAAGGACACTATCAATGGAGTGAAAAGTCAACCCAAAGAATAGGAGAAAATATTTACAAATCATCCATCTAATAAGGAATTAATATCCAGAATATATTAACTCCTTAAATTAACAACAGAAAAAAAAACAGGTTAAAAAATGGGAAAAGGACTTTGCTCCAAAGAAAATATACAAAGGGTCAATAAGTACATGAAAAGATGTTTAACATCACTGATCATTAGGTGAATGCAAGTCAAAACCACAGTAAGACATCATTTCATTTCCATTAGGATGGCTATTATAAAAAAACAAACAAACAAACAAATCACAGCACAAAAAAATGCATGATGAGAATATGGAGAAATTGGAATCATTGTGTATTGCTGATAGGAATGCTGAATGGCACAGTTGCTATTGAAAACAATATGAAAATTCTTCAAAAAATTAAACATATAATTACCATATGATCCTGAAATTTCACTTCTAGGAATTTACCCAAAAGAAATGAAAGCAGGGACTGGAATAGATATTTGTACTTGCATCTTCATAGCAGCATTATTAACAATAGCCAAAAGGTGGAAGCATCCCAAGTGTCCATTCATGGATAAATGGATAAAGAAATTGTGATATATACATCCAATAGAATATTATTCAGCCTTAAAAAGAAAGGCACTTCTGACAACACGCTACAACATGGATGGACCTTGAAGACATTGTGCTAACTGAAATAAGCCAGTCACAAAAGGACACATATTGTATGATCTACTTATGTGAGGGTACCTAGAGTAGTCAAATTCATAAAGACAGAAAGTAGAATAGTGGCTGTCAGGGGCTGAGGAGAGTAGGGAATGGGGAGTTAGTGCTTAATGGGTCCAAAATTTCAGCCTGGGAAGATGAAAAGTTCTGGAGATGATAGGTAGTGGTGATAGTTATACAATAATGTGAATGTCACTGAACTGTATGCTTAAAAATGGTTAAGATGGTAAATTTTGTGTTATGCATATTTTACTACAATAAAAACATTAAAAAATGCCATAAGTACATGTTTAGTGCCTGCTCCATTTTTAGTCCTGAGCTGGGGGTAAAAAGACATTTTCATAGGCCATGCAAGATCCAGCTCTGCCCTCAAGGAGCTTAGTGAAAGTTCCTATATCTGTGTCATAGTTGCTAAAGGTAATTCTGTCAACTTCATTTATGTCACAATCATTTACGGGGTGCTTGAGTGCCTGCTATGATCCAGGTGATATTTTGGCTGTGAGATAGTTTTGATTCTTGTGGGAGAAGAGAGAGAATCAACAAAATAAGAAAAATAGAGTATGTTGAGAGATAATTAGGGCCATGAAAAATAAAGAAAAGTAAAGCTGGAAAGGAGATTAAAGAGTGCTAGGGGTTGGAGTTGGGAACATTCAGTTCTAAATAAGAAGGCAAAAGAAAATCTTATTTAGAAAATAATATTTGAGGAAAGACATGGAGGAGCTGAGAAAGACAGACAGGAATATCTGAGAGAGGCTGAGCATGGTGGCTCACGCCTGTAATCCCAGCACTTTGGGGGGCCGAGGTGGGCTGATCACTTGAGGTCTGGAGTTCGAGACCAGCCTGGCCAACATGGTGAAACCCTGTCTCTAGTAAAAATACGAAATTTAGTTGAGCTTGATGGCGAGTGCCTGTAATCCCAGCTACTTGGGAGGCCAAGGCGGGAGGATCGCTTGAGGCCAGGAGTTTCAGACCAGCCTGGCCAACATGATGAAACCTCGTCTCTACTAAAAACACAAAAAGTAGCAGGATGTGATGGCCCCACCTGTAGTCCCAGATACTCGGGAGGCTCAGGTAGGAAAATCTCTTGAACCTGGGAGGTAGGGGTTGCAGTGAGCTGAGATGGCACCACTGCACTCCATCATGGGCAACAGAGTGAGACTCCATCTCAAAAAAAAGAGAAAAGAAAAGAAATATCTGAGAGAAAAATATTTTAGACAGATGGACCCCTAAATGGCAAAGGTCTCAAGGCGTAAAGGGTAAAGGAACCTGAAGTACACGGGCGGGCTGCAGTGAGGTAGGGGAAAGTGGAGTGCAGAGGATGAAGTGTCAGGGAGGTATTGCGCAGGGGGTGAAGAATAGACTGTAGAGTCCTGAGCGGGGGCTATAAGGTCTTTGGTTTTTTAGTCTGTGGGAAGAAAGGCAGCTACTGGACTGAAGTGTTTAACGAAATAACTGATATCATCTGACTTATGTTTCAGTAGGATCCCTCCAGCTGTTAGATTGAAAATAAACTGTAGATGGGTATAGTAATTTCCTGTTGCTGATGTAATAAATTACAACAAATTTACTAGTTTAAAACAATACAGGGAGGCTGAGGCAGGAGAATGGTGTGAACCCGGGAAGCGGAGCTTGCAGTGAGCCGAGATTGCGCCACTGCAGTCCGCAGTCTGGCCTGGGTGACAGAGCGAGACTCCGTCTCAAAAAAAAAAAAAAAAAAAAAAAAAACACAAAAAAACAATACAAATTTATGATCTTAAAGTTCGTAGGTCAGAAGTTTTTATGGGCTAAAATCAAGGTGTCTGCCGATTGCATTTCTTCTGGAGGCTCTAAGGGATAATATCATTTAGTGTCTTGTATTTTCCAGCTTCCAAGGGCCATCTATATTTCTTGGCGTCTGGCTTCTTTCTCCATCTTCAAATCTCTCTCTCTCTCTGTCTCTGTCTGTCTGTCTCTCTCTGTCTCTCTCTCTCTCTCACACACACACACACACACACACACACACACACACACACACACACTCTGTCTCTCTCTCTCTCTTACAAAGGCTCTCATAATTACATTAGACCTACCAGGATGATCCAGGATAATCTTCCTATTTCAAGGTTCTTGACTCAATCACATCTGCAAAGTCCCTTTTGCCATGTAATATAACATATTCGTAGGTTTCAGGGATTAGGACATAAACATCTTTGGGGAGCATTATTTTGCCTACCACAGTCTACCCTCAGGCTCCCAAAGTTTCACATCTGTCCCACATTCAAAATGCATTCAGCTGGCTCCAATATCCCTAAACATCTCAACCCATTTCAGCAGCAATTTGAAGTTTAAATAAATTCATCAACTCAAAATCCCCCAATCTCATAATATAATCAGCTATGGGTGAGGCTCTAATCCATCCTGAGGTATAATTACTCTTCATCTGTTAATCTGTAAAACTTAAGAAGCAAGTTAGTTTCTCCCAAAATACAATGGTGATGGTATAGGCATAGGATAAAAGTTATAGAAGTTCCCATTTGAAAAGAGAAAATGTAGAAGAAAAAGGAGTCACCAGTTCCAAGAAAAATTGAAATCCAGGTGGGCAAACATTATGCTTTTTGGACCTGAGGATGATACTCTGTAGTTTTTGGCTCCACCCTCTGGGCTTGTGGCTCCATCTTCAAGGTCATCCTTAATTTTTCAGGAAGGGTAGCATGAGCACAAAACTGGGTAGTTTGATCAGTTTGTTTTCTGCCTGTAGAATTTTGGGAGTCAGCAGTGTTCTTTTATTTGTTGTTGCTCTGTTTGTTATTGTCCAAACTGGTCCGAATTGGTTCTGCTGGTGTAAAATTCTCAATGGATTTACTCCATTAGACAAGAGGCTTTCCACAGGGTTTTCCTAAATAACCCCATCCCAATTTTTGGTTTTTGCTTAGATGGTTGGGAGAATCTGAGTCACAGCTTAATCTTTTCAAAGAGACTTCTGTGTGACTAAATACACCACCTTTTGACCCTTCCAAGGCAATAGAAATATATGTTCTATACATATTAATACTTACTTGAGGGATGATTAATATACAATAAAATTAATAATTTTTAAGTGAACAACCTAATGGATTTTAACATGTGTATGCATCCTTGTAACCATCACCCAGATCAAATAATAGAACATTTTAATTCTCCCCAAATTCCTTTGTGTGTTTTTAGCCAATACCCTCAGTGACTCCCCAGAGAAAATGATTATTCTGATATCTATCACCACAGATTGGGTTGGCCAGTTCTTGAAACTCACATAAATGGAATTACACTATGTATAATCTTTTGCCTCTGGCTTCTTTGACTCAAAGTATTTTGGACACTTTTACAAGTATCTGTGTGTGTGTATGTGTGTGTGCACCCTTTTTCATTGACAAACAGTATTCCATTGCCTATATTTTGAAGGTGGAGCCTTTGAAAGAGTTTCTAATGCATTGTATATAGGATGTTTCTAACACATTGCAATAGGATGTGATAGAAAGAGAATTAAAGATTATGCTGAGATTTTTGGCCTGAATAGCTAGAAGTTACCATTAATTGAGCTGGGGAAGACTATGAGAGAAACAGCTTGTGGGAGAGAGGAGGAGGTTAAAATATAAGGACCTTAATTTTAGACATGTAAATCTTGAGATGTAGATTAGATATCCAAATGGAGATATTGAGTAAGTAGTTAGATATATGAGTGTGGAGGTTAGGAGAGGTGTCCAGACTAAATTTGGGCATTGTCAGCATTTTGATGGTCTTTAAAGTAATGAAAGTTGAGGTGATGGAGCATACATAGAAGTCCAAAGACAGAGCCCGGCAACACTTTAATGAAGTGCTGAGAGATCAGGAAGTTGAGCAGGAAACAGCAAAACAGACTAAGGAGCAATTGTTAAGTAGGAGGAAAACCAGTTGTATATGCTATTCTGGAAACCATACTAAAGTTATATGTAACATTATGATAATGCTAAATATTTATTATTTATTTTAATATGAAAATAATTTTTGTGGCTCTTTAAAAAGATTATGAACAGCTTCCATAATATTTTCCAGGAATATAAGTAGTGAACTGTTGGCTATTACAAAAGTGGTCACAAATTGTATCACTAATAATTTTGAAATGACCGAAGATCTAGTACTCAATATTCTTTTATGATAACTGCTTATTTTGGACTTAAATTTAGTGTTTTGGGATTTGTTAGTCCTCAAAACAGAGCTTCTCTCATAAGAAAATTGGCCATGTAAGCTTCACAGGAAACAGATTATAAAACTAGAGACCCAAGAAAAATATCTCGAATCCATACAGCATCGAATAGGGGTTTTTAAAAAGTCTTGTAATTCCACACAAACCACCAGGTCACATCTACTTTTAGAGAGAGTAAGACATTTCTCTTCAGTTATCATCTAAAAATTAGGCTTTAACAGGAATAAACTCAAAAGATGCACTGAATAAGCCAGGACTAGTCTAATTTCCACCCAAATATCCTCTAACAGTCAGCTAAGTGACACCACAGTTGTTCTGACTTTCAAGTAGTGATTGTCAACCCTGCTCATATCCTGCATTTGTTTGCTGGCTTTGGTTTTCTAATGAGAAAAAATGACTCCTGGAACTAAACTGCTACCATGAAAACTGTTTTTGATGTGACTATAAGCAAATTGCAACCATAGACCCTTGTATTACTTGTGATATGTTTATGGAACTTCTGATGCTAATGATGAGAATACCATGTGTGCTAGTCTGATAGTATAAAACTGGAAATATCCCGTAAATGGAAAATAATACACCATGTCATACACTTCATCTTAAATGTTTTTTAGATTTCCCTGAGTTATTTAATATAATAGTGCTGTGTGACCCCCATGCATTCAGAGAGGAAATGATATAGGAAAGGACTCTCAGCAGATTGACTGATGAGTTGTTAATGATGGTAGTTTAACCTGCTCTAATGGAAGATTTGTCAACAGCATCTCAAATGGCTGATCACATGGTATTATGGTTTTAGTTACAGTTCCTGGTTGGGTTGGTTGGCAAATGCTTGTTATTTTAAATTAACTTTTGGAGGTGGGTCAAATAGGGCACTAAATTTACTGGAAGAGCTTTCCCTCCTATTTTTGAATATGATTAGAAGCCACCTTTTAATTTATTGAGGAGATTGAAGTTGTGGCCAAATAATCAAAGATTTGAGCAGTAAACTAAGCGGCATCAAATTCAGGTATGATTTTAGGTGTCTTATTGTTTTATAAATTTTTCCCTTAGTTTTCTCTCTCTCTCTCTGTGTGTGTGTGTGTGTGTCTGTGTCTGTGTGTGTGTGTGTTTCCTGAAGAGTAGCTCTACAGATGTGGAGAGGTATTCTCTTTCATGCAAATTTTAAATATCAAATAAAGAATTAACAACTTTTTTTACTCTGGAGATGTGAGAAATCAAAATGCATTAGAAAATACCCAGTATGAGTGCTGATTAGATGAACTGATATTATGGTGTAGGTTTTGTATTTTTTTAGTTTAAGGTGCCTGGCCCAGTGTGGAGGATCAAAAATATTTATTGAATTTAATTGGAGAATTGAACTGGGCTGGTCTAGAAATCTGACCATCATTAATTAATTTCTTTTTGCTACTTTGTTTATTAATTAGTTAATCTACACATTTGTTTTATAGTTAATGCCTGCTAGCAATAGAGTGTGCTACGTCTTCTAGGAAATATAAATAATATAACCTGAGACTTGATTTAAAAGGTTTTACAAATTCAAGTGGGAGGTGACATATATGCAAAGAACCAGGAAATATAGTAGAAAATTATAGCAATGGAAAAATATATTCCGAGTTCCAACTTACCAGTTTATAGACTTTTGGAACCTAAAACTATGGTAAGCTCAAGGTCTCCTGTGAACATTTATTTATTTTTGCCTATTTACCTATTATAAGCTCTTTGATAGTGATATAATAGGAATTTTTATGTAATGAGATAACTTATTTTTAAATTTCACTCCTATGATACAGAGGCTATAGTTTCTATAGTGAAATCGACATGAAATTGAGTGAAATTGACATGAAACCCATAAGAGGTTGGTCAATGTTGTCTATTGCTTTGTAGTTACCGAGGGTCTCTGAATTAGCTCTGTCTACTTTCTCCTACAGGTAATTTATATTTTAAACCGTTTTTAATATTGAACATGTAAAGCATGGTAATATGGTTTTATTGTTTTTTATTTTAGAATTTTTCTTAAATTTTATGCTGTAAATGCAACTTTTCAAAATTAAAATGTACAAATAAACAGGTGGTTGTTACTGTCATCCTAACTGCCTTTGCAGAATGTTCCTAAGGTTTTGATATAACAAAATCATAAAAGCAATACAAGTTCATATTTTATTGTAAAACATCCAATTTTGCTACAAAATATAAAAAGGACCTTATAATAAATATGGCATATGCATATTTCTATTAATGTTCAACCTTCACTATATTGAACTTTTAAAACCTGTTACTCAGATGATTTAATTCTATCAACCAGACAGCATTACGAATATTCTCTCCCCTATTCTGGATTTTCTCCCATTTTTTACTTAAGAGAAGCTTATACACTGAAACTATAGTCTCATGTTTTTCTCCTTATTTAGTCTATTATGTAAATTAGAACTCAAATGACCTGTTAATCTTAGGTTTGACATTTACAAAAAACAAAGGTTATATTCAAAACACTTAATAATTGGGAATTTGTGGTCACCAGCCAAGCTGTCCTCAAGTCCTCCTGCTAGTTGCATGTTAGCCTTTCAGTTGCTGGATCATGGAATGGGCAATGGGTTCCAGGGGAGAAGCTGGAAAAATGGTCCTTGGGGCACTGGCAGTAACTATTTACCAGCTTGTATGGAAGGATCTTAACATCTTGACATCTCATAACAATGTATCACTGTATACCCACTGAATATAGTCCTGTCTATGAATTTAATTTCTCTTTCCTCATCTGTACAATGAGTAAAAAATAATAGTCATTATAAGCTCCACCTGGCTCGTAGAGTTCTTGAAGAGACTCAAAGAAAAAGTTTGTGAAACAATAACATGATAGTCTTGTTAGGCATTGTTGTAAATTTTGTCATGATCAGATCATATAATTCTCACAAAACCTTTTTTTTTTTTTTTTTTTTGAGACAGAGTTTCACTCTGTCGTCCGGGTTGGAGTGCAGTGGCGCAATGTCGGCTCACTGCAACCTCCACCTACTGGGTTCAAGCGATTCTCCTGCTTCAGCCTCCTGAATGGCTGGGACTACAGGCGCACGCCACCACGCCTGGCTAATTATTTGTATTTTTAGTAGAAACTGGGTTTCACCGTGTTAGCCAGGCTGGTCTCAATCTCCTGACCTCATGATACACCTGCCTTAGCCTCCCAAAGTGCTGGGATTACAGGTGTGAGCCACTGTGCCAGGCCTCTTACAAAACCTTTTAAGATAAGTGTTATTATTCCCATTACAACAACCCTATGAGCCAACATTTATATACTGCACATTTTACTGAAGCAGAAAGTGAACTCAGTGAGATCTGATAATTTGCTTACAATTGCTTAGCTAGTTTGTTCTTAAGTAGAGATAGAATTGAAACACTGATGTTTCCTTAATATATGAATGTGAAAACTTAATCTGTAATAGTAAAAACCAGCTACATTTGTTACTTCATAAGCAGTGGTACAGAACCTGTATATCCATAGTTCAAACCATAAATTATTTTAATCCCTTGTCAGATGGCTACTAATAGTACTGTTACACTCTATTCCCTGGGCCAAAATTTGGCAAAGAGAAATGAGAAAACCGGGAGGTAAAAGCACAATTAAAACTATTTTAAGTTGGAAAAATATGTTCAGACTTTAAGTTTAGTTTGGAGCTTAGTATTACATTGGCAAGAAATTCTGTCTCTCAAAATGAGGTTTTCAATTTCTTTATTAATAAACACACCATTAAACATCGTATTGCCTCAGTGGTAGATATGGTAAAAATGTTCAAACATCATACTTAATGGAGAAACCTTAGAAGTCTTCCCTTTAATGTCAATAACAAAAAAGAATGCCTGCTATGATCCCTTCTTTTCTACAAAGGACTAGGTGTCCTGGCCAATGAAATATGAGAAGTAAAAGAAATAAGGGATAAAGCTATAAGGAAGGAGACAAAACTGTCAGTACGCGTAGATGATTTAAGTACATAGAAAACTCAAGAGAATCAACAGACAAATGACTAAAGCTAAAAAGAGAGTTCAGTTTGCTTGCTGAGCACAAATCAGTACGTAATGATAAATAGACTTATTTTACACCAACAGCCGTTAAAAAATATAATAGACGATAAGATACTGTTTACAATAGCATATATATATATATATATATATATATATATATATAAACTGACCTAAAATGCAAAAATTATTTTGGAAGACATTTTAAAGCATTATTAAGGGACATTAAAAAAAGAACTGATTAGGTAGAAATACCAGATTTGTGGAAGGAAGATTTAACATAAAGATATAAATTCTTCCTAAATTAAAATATAAATTTAATGTAACTAAAATAAAAAATCCAATAGAGGTGAATTGGTCACACGCAAATCCACAAATAGCTAAAACAGTTCATAAAAAGAAGAGAGAGGTTGGGAAATATCTTACTAGATATTAAGGTATATTACTAAGCTCTAGTAATTCAGTGTGATACTGACACTAAAAATGCCAAATAGACAATAGAATAGAATCTAAAATAAAATAGGATCTAAAACAAATCCATGTGTATATAAGAACTTGGTAAGTAGATCATTGAGAAAATGGTAGATTATTTAAAAAACATTATTGTGAAAATTGGCTAAACACTTGGAGAAAATACAGGCCCCAAATTCATACCACATATAAAAATGATCCCCCATTGTAATGAAGATCTCAAAATAAAAGACAAAACTATAAAGCTATGATAAAAAATGTTAGAGAATGTCTTTGTAACAATACAGTGGGAGAGCATTTCTCAAATGAGGTAAAGCCCAGGGCATACAAAAAAAATTGGTGAAATTGAAGTCAAAAGTAAGGACTTCTGTTTTGTGTAGGACACTATAGACAGACTGGGAGAAGATATTTGGGGTGTGAACAATTAATAAAAGATTAAAATATAAAGAAATCCTACAAACCCACAATTAAAAATCCCAGGCAATCACATAGAAGAATGAGCAAAGAATATAAAGAGACAATTCAAAGAAGGAGAAAACTAAAATGACTAAAAGGCATAATGAAAAGAATCTCAATTCAGATAATTGCAAACTAAAACTTTAACAAGAATGGCTAAATTAAAAAGTTGGATAATATCAAGTATTGTCAAGTCTGTGGGAAGCAGCAACTCTTCATCTACTGGATGGAGTATAAACTGGTGGGTGCATCCATTCTGGAGACCAGTTGGCGAGTATGTGGGGAAACTGTATATGCACAAATGCATGGATCCAGCAGTTCTAAAGCGGGGCATATCCCCTAGAGAAAATATTGCACGGGGGAACAAGAAGACATAGATGAGAATAAACCTTTCTGTACTGTTTGTGATAGAATTTTCTAAACTTATTGACCATTAACTTCTTTTACTCTTATAACATCTAATTGGATTGGTATTCTGTGACACACATGTTGGGAAACAGTGATTTAAAAGAATAACTTTTAAATTTAAGGACATGGCTAGGTAGGATGCCAATGCATCCAAGTGCCTTCATGTATCACTATCAAAAGGAGCTTATTGGCATAATATGACCTATTTAGTATGAAATATTGTGCTCTTAATAAAAGTACTCAAGACTTGTGCTGCATTTAAACTATGGAAAGATATCAAACAAACTGAGACTTAAAAAAATAGAAATGGAGTGTTTGTGAAACCATTTTTGTATACGTCATTTAACATTGTGTTAAGCAGGATCTTAGTTAATATACCTCTACAAATCAAGATTATGCCCGGGCATGGTGGTACATGCCTGTAGTTCCAGCTACTTGGGAGGCTGAGGTAAGAGGATCACTTAAAGCCAGGAGTTTGAGACTAGCCTGGGCAACATGGTGAGATCCTGTATTAAAAAAAAAAAAAAGATGATGAACCAATTACTTATTAGTAGTATTTCTGGAAATGAGATTGCCTGTGATGTTTACTTTTTTCTTTACACTTTTCTGTATCATGTAATTATTTAAAAACTAGTCTTTATTAATTTTTTTTTTTTTAGACAGAGTTTCACTCTGTTGCATAGGCTGGAGTGCAGTGGTGAGATCTTGGCTCTCTGCAACCTCCACCTGCCGGGTTTAAGCGATTCTCCTGCCTCAGCCTCCCGAGTAGCTGGGACTTACAGGTGTGTGTCACCACACCCGGCTAATTTTTATTTTTTAGTAGGGATGGGGTTTCACCATGTTGGCCAGGCTGATCTCAAACTCCTGACCTCAGGTAATCCGTCCGCCTTGGCCTCCCAAAGTGCTGGGATTACAGGCGTGAGCCACCACACCTGGCCATATTTACTAATTTTTAATCAGAAACATAATAAAACTATTTTCCTTTTGAAAATAAATTAAATATGAATTTATCAATGTCAAGAATGAAATAGTAACTATTTTCATATTCCATATAAGTTGAGAAATGCATTACACTTTTAATTCTTTCTTCTCTTACTTTTTTTTGTCAAAAGAATCTGGAGTTTTAGTTCTGAAATATCGTTAACACATTTTGTTAGAATCCTATATCATATATTTTAAGACCTATGTTTTACATTTGAACAGTTTTATTGTAAAATTAATTACAATTAGGCAGCACATTGTTTTACTACATTAATTGCCGTTTGGGGATTTATTTCTAGTGTCTTTAAAAAACACCAATTTGTATTTTCTTTCATAGTTTTTTGAATTTACTGGACTCATTTGGGTAGTTCTCACTTGGAGTATCTCAGGTGTTCACTGTCAGATAAAGGCTGAGGCTGGAGTCATTGAAGGCTCCATTGGGCTAGAAGTCTGAGGTGCTCCATGCTCCTCTATGTGTCCTCTTCCTCAGAAGAACCACTTGCCCTTTCTTAAGCACAACTCACAGCTCCAACGGAAGCAAAACAGAAGCTACCTGGCCAATTAAGGGGTATGTCTAGTCTGAGCATAGCTTTATGTTTGCAGGGTGGCATTGGCCAAAGCAGTCACAGCTTCAACCCAGATTCAAGAGGATGGAATAGACTTTTCATGGAAGAGTAGCAAGGCTGCATGACTGAAGAGCTTGTGGGAGGGGAGGTAATGTTGCAGCTACATTTGGAAACCTGTCACAGTTGTTCCCTCATTTTTGTTGTTGTTGTTGTTATGCTTTTTGTATCTGCTGGTTCAAATCTCAGTTGGATATGCTACCCAAAACAGAATGGTACTGGTATAAAAATAGATACATAGATCAATGGAACACAATAGAGAACTCAGAAGTAAAGCTATCTACTTACACCAACTCACCTTCAACAAAGTCAACAAAAATATGCAACAGGGAAAGTGTGTCCGGAATTGGTGGGTTCTTGGTCTCACTGACTTCAAGAATGAAGTCGCGGACCCTCGCGGTGAGTGTTACAGTTCTTAAAGGCGGCGGTTCGGAGTTTGTTCCTTCTGGCAGGTTCGTGGTCTCACTGGCTCAGGAGTGAAGCTGCAGACATTCGGGGTGATTGTTACAGCTCTTAAGGCGGCGCGTCTGGAGTTGTTCGTTCCTCCCGGTGGGTTTGTGGTCTTGCTGGCTTCAGGAGTGAAGCTGCAGACCTTCGTGGTGAGTGTTACAACTCATAAAGGCAGTGTGGACCCAAAGAGTGAGCAACAGCAAGATTTATTGCAAAGAGCGAAAGAACAAACCTCCCACAGTGTGGAAGGAGACCTCCTCAGGTTGGCACTGCAGGCGCGGGCAGCCTGCTTTTATTCTCTTATCCGGCCCCACCCACATCCTGCTGATTGGTCCATTTTACAGAGAGCCGATTGGTCTGGAGGGGGGAGAAGGGGAGGCTCATGGCGGGCTGCAGGTCCTGAGACTTGACCCGCAGGGAGGCAGCTAAGGCCCTGCGAGAAATCGAGCGCAGCGCCGGTGGGCCGGCACTGCTGGGGGACCCGGCCTACCCTCCGCAACTGCTGGCCCAGGTGCTAAGCCCCTCACTGCTCGGGCCGGCCGCTCCGAGTGCGGTGTCCGCCAAGCCCACGCACACCCGGAACTCCAGCTGGCCCGCAAGCGCCGGGCGCAGCCCCGGTTCCCGCTTGTGCCTCTCCCTGCACACCTCCCCGGAAGCCGAGGGAGCCGGCTCCGGCCTCGGCCAGCCCGGAGAAGGGCTCCCAGGGTGCAGCGGCGGGCTGAAGGGCTCCTCAAGCGCCGCCAGAATGGGCGCCAAGGCCGAGGAGGCAACGAGAGCGAGCGAGGGCTGCGAGCGCTGCCAGTATGCTGTCACCTCTCAAAAGGACACCCTGTTCAATAAGTTGTGCTCGGAAAACCAGATAGTCATATGGAGAAGAATGAAACTGGACCCCATCCTCACCATATACAAAAATTAACTCAAGATCAATCAAAGGCGTAAACGTAAGACCCGAAACTATAAAAATTTTGATTGAAGTACTTCTTATAGTAATTATTTTACAGAAGTAACATACTTCCTGAATCTTTAGCAGATCTTTTTGCCCTTAGATGTGAGTGATAATTTGAATGAATACAGAATCCCTGGATCACAATCTTTGTTTCTAAAAGCATTTAGAGTTGTAGAGGTGACCTCTGTTTAGGAACATTTTTCTGTTTGCGTATTATATTCTCTCTTCCCATCATGCTCACCCCACTTTCTCTTCTATTTTAGATATATGTAGTTTTCCCAAAGCCTTCAAATTCAACAATTTCAGCGGTAAATGTCTGGGTTTGGGTTTTCCTTCTACATGAATTTGGCCTGGTACTGATTCAGTTGGGCTGAAAAAATAAGACTTCTCAGCTAAAAGGAAAATCTATTCTATAATTTCTTTCTTTCTTTCTTTCTTTTTTTTTTTTTCAGACGGAGTCTTGCTCTGTCTCCCAGGCTCGAGTGCAGTGGCGCGATCTCGGCTCACTGCAAGCTCCACCTCCCGGGTTCACGCCATTCTCCTGCCTCAGCCTCTGGAGTAGCTGGGACTACAGGTGCCCGCCACCACGCCCGGCTAATTTTTTTGTATTTTTAGTAGAGACAAGGTTTCACCGTGTTAGCCAGGATGGTCTCGATCTCCTGAGCCCGTGATCTGCTCGTCTCGGCCTCCCAAAGCACTGGGATTAGAGGCGTGAGCCACCGCACCTGGCCTATTCTATAATTTCTAATAATTATTGCTTTATCTTTATATGCTCTATTTCTATATTGAGCTTCTACCGTAAGTAAATTATATTTCTTAAATGTGTTCTTCATAGCTCCTGTTTTTTTTTTGCATTTTTCAACAAGTACACTGATTCAATAGTAACCCAGTATAAAATTTGATGTCTCTATAGTAATAAAGATTTTGATATAAAATAATATTTATGGTACGTTAGATTATTCTTCTTTTATAGTTTCAGTGTATTTTCAATTCTTGCTAAGAATACAGATAAGAGATTCTGTAATCCCTTTTCCCATTTACTTCAGTAAGTCTGTTTGAAGGGAGATTTTTATCTAGTGCTTCAGATTGATCCCTATCTTTTTTCATAAGTCTTTTCATAAATTCAGTGACTTTGCCTGTGAATTTTCACACTGAGGATACAGGGGTTGATGTCTATCTAGCATTTGGAATGATCAATTTTACAGATTATGTGGGTTGTCATTCAAGTCTTTTAGAGCCAAACAACAGAAAAATAAAACATTTGTTTGTTATCTTTGCCAGTTGAAAGGCTAGTGGGCTGAGGGAAGTAGGTGTGGCTCTTTCTTTCCTTCAGATCTTGGCTCAAGTGCTATTTTTTCAAGAGGCTTTCTTTGATCTTTGTATCTAAACTGACCTACCCCAACTTTTCTCTATTTTAAGAGTTGGCAAACTATGGCCCACAGGCCTAAATCTGGTCCATTGTCCTTTTTTTTTTAATAATGTATTATTGAATCACAGCCACACCCATTCACTTATGTGTTGCCTCTAGTTGCTTTTTTTGCTTTACAACAGCAGAGTTGAGTAGTTTGCAATAGAGTCCATATGGCCCAAAAAACCTGAACTATTTTCTGTGTACCTCTGTGCAGGAAAAAATTTGCTGACTTCTGCTCTATCTCGTCATCCCATTTGTTCCCTTAATGCCACATATCACACATTGTAATTATCTACTACATTTCTTTGGTTATTTCTTATTACAACCTCACAAAGATGGAAGCTTCATGAGGTCCAGTACTTAATCTATCTGGGTCACTACTGTATCCCTAGTACCCAGCACGGTGTCTGGAATATAATAGACACTTAATAAATGTTTGCTGAATAAATACATGAATTAAATAAATGTTAAAATGTTATATTATTCTATTCATTTCACTGGGACTCTGGGAGCAGGATGGGGTGAATTAAACGTATTTTGGTTCAGTTAACATTTTAATGAATTAGTTAATTGTGGTAAGAACCGTTAGCATGAGATCTACTCTCTTAACAAATTTTTAAGTGCATAATGCAGTGTTAACCGTAGGTATAATGTTATAGAGCAGATCGCTAGAACTTATTCATCTCTCATTACTAAAACTTTATTCCCGTTGAACAGCAGCTCCCTGTTTCCCCATCTTCCTAGTCCCAGGCACCCACAGTTCTACTCTCTATTTCTGTGAGTTTGACTATTTTAGATCCCTCAGATACGTGGAATCATGCAGTACTTGTTTTTATGTGACTGACTTATTTCACTTCAGTTAATATGTTATATTGGAAGAAGGTAACATGAATATTTAGGATATGAGCCAAAACAGAAGAGTTAAAAAGGAAAGTTGAGGTGAAATTCCCTGGGAGATATGAGGAAACCAGTAGAGTGGTGTCTTAAAACCAAGGGCAGAAGGATTTCAAGGGCAGGGTGTGAGGAATTTTGTCAAATGTTTTAGAGAGATAACAAATTTTGAAAGTTCTGACAAGTGTCCCCTGGATTTAGCCATGAAGAGACTATTGTGACATTAGTAAAGGATCTTTCAGTGGGGTGGATGGGGCTGTGTTAGTTCCCTAGAGATACCATAACAAAGTACTACATATATAGTGGCTTAAAACAACAGAAAGTTATTCTCTCACAGTACTGGAGGCCAGAAGTCCAGAATCGAGGTATCAGCAGGACCATGCTCTCTGCTTTAGGGTAGGTGCCACCCTTGCCTCTCTCTTGGTTTCTGGTATCTGCTAGCAATCTGTGATGTTTCTTGTCTTACAAATGCATCACTGCAATCTGAGCCTCCATTGCCACATAGCATTCTCTCTCTGTGTGTGTGTCTCTGTGTCCCTTCTCTGTGTCACATGGCATTCTTTTAAGGACAAAAGTTATTTGATTTAGGGTCCATTCTTATCTAGTATAGCCTCATCTTAACATGATTACATTGGCAAAGACACTATTTCCAAATAAGGTCATGTTCACAAGTATGAGGGGTTAGGGCTTCAACATATCTTTTTTAGGGGGACACAGTTCAACCCACAATAGGGGCATACATCAGATTTCAACAGGCTTAGGAGCAAATGCAGCAAGAAGGTGAAGACAGTGAGAGTAAAGTCTTCATAAAACCTGGTGCAAGAGGGGAAAGAAGCAGAGCAGTAGCTAGAGACACAGGATTTAGAAAGATGGTTGAACAGATTAAAGAAAGACCCAATAGAGAGGTGGAATTAGAAGACAGAGGGAAGAGGAAATGTGAACAGAAAGAAGAACATGAGGAAGCAGGAGAGGACTGTGGTAGAGACTGTTACTTGTTCACTAATATTCATTCTTCCACTCACCACTTCTCTTAATATTTAGCTGGGCTTACCATTTTCTGTAACAGAGAATGCATTATTTTGTCTCCCCTGCAGCTAGCTAGGCCTTGGGATTAGATTCTAGTCAATGGGAAGAACGTAGATGCATTTGTGTGGACTGGAATGCACACATGTTGGCTGTAACTTCAGTAGTAATCTTAAACCATGGGGTAGAAGCCATATGTTCAGATTAGTGGAGACCCAAGTCAGAAGAAGTCATACCTCTGATCGTTGTAGAGTCATCATACTAGCCCTGATTTAATTATGTAGAATCCTAATTTTTGCAAAAAAGAAACAAATTTCTATCCTGTTTAAGCCACTACCATTTTGTGTTTTCTTTCACTTGCAGTTTAACATAATTATGACTGAAACATAGGTAGATGTCAGGACATAGGACATGGTGTGGAAGTTTCAATTGAGGTGGAAGATAACCTAATTCAGTGAGGCAGGAGGGAATAATGAAGTTATGGTTGCAGCTACAAATGTACTGATAAGTAGATAGTGGGAAGTTTAGAGAGTTGTTTTAAGGCACTGACTTTTAAAAGTAGGGTTAGTTGTTGAGAATAACAGAAGAGGTTTTAGTGGAGCATGTTTGAGGTGAGTCGTGAAGATTTAACAAAAATTATTGTGAGGCATGAGAGAGAGTGAGCTGAAAATATGGGTTTGGGATTGGCATTTTGGTTAGAGACAATACAATTGTAATGGTCAAGCACCATACATCCTATGATGCTCTATGGGATGGAAGAACATTCTCAGTTCTTAGAGGCATCCATTAATCCATTATTAGACTTCTGCATTATTGGAATAAAGAAGGGAAAAGGGAGTTTTGCAGCAATACTTTAGCCATATTTTATTAGACCTTTCTTATGTGATAGATGGGCTATGTGAATGTGCCAATATGCAGTAACACAGACTTCACTCCCACTGTAAAAGGAGCTAGTTTGGAAAGTTTGATCCTTGAAGACAGCTCTTAAACACAGTGGTCATGTATGGAAAGGTTGGTGGATACCATTTCTGAACACGTTGAGAAGTCAAAAAATTCCCTAACATTTCAGAGGTTACACCGTAATTGGCATCTTTAAGAAAAAAGGCGGTAATTTTAATTGGGCCGCTAACTCTTCACTGTTGATGTTTGATTCTGCCTAGTGTTATTAGGGCTGTTATGCAATAGCACACAGAAAGGGAGTGAAGAACCTCTACTTCAAGCCTTTTTTTTAAACTTAAGTAAGACTTTAGTAGACTAATATTTTGTTTTGATTTTATTGCTCTGGTGAAAAAATCATATCATTTAGTGATAAAATGAAACTTATGAACAAATGGTGTCATAATCATAATGAAATTTGTGTCACTGGTTTAATACTTGGCAGTTTTCAAGATACATCCAGAATATATGTTATCTAATTTAATCTACAAACAACACTGTAATGTAGGTTAATTATACCTACCTAATTTCCAAATGAGAGCATTGAGGCTCAGAGGGGTTAATGATTTTTGCAGAATACCAAACAAGCAAACATTGGAATTTAATTTTGACTCCAGGGTCCAGTGAGTGCATTATGCTGTGTTCATCTTCAATATGATGATTACTTACAATAAGTAATTAATCTGGACAGCTGCACTGTGAAGTAGGGGAGGTTTTCATTTTCCATGAAGGTTCTCCAAGTGTCTGAGACTTTTTCAAATTATTATTTAAAACTTCAATTTGCGGTTTGTGGTTGTTAGTTCAAGATAACATATCCACCTAAAATGGAGCTTCTCTTCTCTTGCATTTGCTCAATTTTTTAATGCCTATAAATCTTAAACTCTTGAGGATTGTCTTTGGAGGCACTGTTGAGTGAATAAAATATATCACTTCCCGTTGGCCTCTAGAGGTCACAAATGCAACAGAATCTTGCTCTCTTCTCTTCAAGAGTGTTTTAGACAGCCCACAAACCACTATGGTTTTGATGGGTGTGTGTGGTCACCATAATTCTTATGATTCTAATGATTACATTATAAAAATAAGGTTGCTTATGAATATGTCCAGAACATTACTTTCTTCACCAGAATTTTCAGAGTATCCATAGCCTTGGATAACAGAAAAAGGCAGTATGAAGATGTTTTTGTAATCTCTGGAAACTATTCTTTAAGCCAAGTCAGGATTATTTGCTGTTGCATTTCAAAGCTGGTTAATCAGTATACCAATGATAAACTTAAAAATAGTTACTTTATAAATATAAGCAATAACTAATCTTTAACAAACATTTTGTTATGTTTTTGTGTATAAAAATAAGAGGGAAAAGTATTGTTACTTTGCTATCTATGTGAAATAGTTAAAATTTACAATTTTCATTGGTTAAAATATTATGAAAATATTTTAAGAAGTAGTAAATTTGTGGTTAGGAGTACTTTGATTTTTTAAAAATATTTAGATCTATGGCATTTTCTTAATAAAAATCCCTACCACTTATTGGTCATTTATAACCCACCAGACATCATGCTAAGCACTCTCTAAACATATTATCCCATTTATTTTCACAACAACTGTATGCAGACTTTTAAAAGTTTGTGCTTTTTATTTATTTTTTCTTAGTAGTGTTTCTAACTCTTTCATATATATATATATACACACACACACATACACACACACACACACACATACACACACACACACACACACATATATATATATAGAAAGAGAGAGAGAGATCTGGAGACAATAAGCATAGCCATTTCAAATTTGAGTGACTATTTTAAATGAAAATACAGTCATATGTTGTTTAACTATAGAGACATGTTCTGAGAAATGTGTTATTAGGTGATTTTGTCATTTTGCAAACATCAGAGAGTCAATCCTAGATGGCACAGCCTACTACACACCTAGGCTATATGGTATAACCTGTTGCTCCTAGTCTACAAACCAATACAGCATGTTACTGTACTAAATACCATAGGCAATTGTAACACAGTAGTAATTATTTATGAGCTACACATATCTAAACATAGACATGATACAGTAAAAACCAGGTATAAAAGGTAAAAAATGGTACATCTGTATAGGGCACTTACCATGAATGGAGCTTGTAGGACTGGAAGTTGCTCTGGGTGAGTCTATGAGTGAGTGGTAAGTGAATGAGAGGGCCTAGGGCATTACTGTACACTACTGTAGACTTCATAAACACTGTACACTTAGAATACACTAAATTTGTAAATATTTTTTCTTAAATAATAAATTAATCTTAGCTTACTATAACTTTTCTACTTTATAAACTTAATTTTAAAAAAATTTTGACTATTTCATAATAAAATAGCTTAAAAGACAAACACATTGGACAGTTGAACAAAAATATTTTCTTTCACATACTTATTCTATAAGTATTTTTCCACTAAAATTTTTTTTAAAATTTTCTACTTTTAAAACTTTTTTGTGTGAAAAATGAAGACACAAACACACACATTAGCTAAGGCCTACATGGGGTCTGGATAATCAATTTCACTGTCTTCCACCTCCACATCTTGTCCCACTGGAAGATCTTCAGAGACAGTAACAGGCATGGAGTTGTCATCTCCTAGGAAAACATAGGCTTTCTCCTGGAATGCCTCCTGAAGGACCTGCCTGAGGCTGTTTTACAGGTAACTTTAAAAACTATATATGGCCAGGTGCGTTGGCTCACACCTGTAATTCCAGCACTTTGGGAGGTCCAGGTGGGTGGATCATGAGGTCAGGAGATCAAGACCAGCCTGGCCAATATGGTGAAACCCCATCTGTACTAAAAATACAAAAAAATTAGCTGGACATGGTGATGCAAGCCTGTAGTCCCAGCTACTCAGGAGGCTGAGGCAGGAGAATCGCTTGAACCTGGGAGGTGGAGGTTGCAGTGAGTCGAGATCATGCCACTGCACTCCAGCCTGGGAAACAGAGCGAGACTCCATCTAAAAAAAAAAAAAAAAAAATATATATATATATATATATATATATATATATATATATATATATATACATGCACACACACACCCACATATATATACACATATATATATGTAGAAGGAGTACGCTCTAAAACAATATTGTCATGTATTAAATACATAAACCAGTAACATAATTATTTATTATCATTATTAAGTATTGTGTACAGTACATAATTGTATGTGTCATACTTTTATACAACTGGCAGGCCAGTAGGTTTGTTTACAACAGCATCACCACAAATACATGAGTAATGCATTGTGCTACAACATTATAACAGCTATGATATCACCAGGCAATTGGAATTTTTCAGCTGTATTATAATCTTATGGTAATCTTATGGGACCACCACCATATATGCAGCCTGTCATTGACCTAAATGTCATTATGCTGTCCATGACTGTATTTAAAATGAAAATATATGTCAATCAAATATGTTCACAATCACGTTCACAGTGATAAACACTTAAAAGAATTTCAGGTCTTTTTTTCTTACGTTTGTTGGCCACATAAACGTCTTCTTTTAAAAAGTGTCGTTTCATATCTTTCATACACTTTTTGATGGGGGTGTTTCTTTTTTTTCTTGTACATTTGTTTAAGCTCCTTGTAGATTCTGGATTTTAGCCCTTTGTCAGGTGGATAGACTGCAAAAACTTTCTCCAATTCTGTAGGTTGCCTGTTAGTTTCTTTTGCTGTGCTGAAGCTCTTTGGTTTAATTAGATCCCATTTGTCAATTTTTGCTTATGTTGCAATTGCTTTTGATGTTTTAGTCATGAAGTCTTTGCCCATGCCCATGTCCTGAATGGTGTTGCCTAGGTTTTCTTCTAGGGTTTTTATGGTTTAGGTCTTTATCAAAACCACAATGAGATACCATCTCATGCCAGTTAGAATGGCGATCATTAAAAAGTCAGGAAACAACAGATGCTGGAGAGGATGTGGAGAAATAGGAACACTTTTACACTTTTGGTGGGAGTGTAAATTAGTTCAACAGTTTTGGAAGACAGTGTGTCAATTCCTCAAGGATCTAGAACTAGAAATACCATTTGACCCAGCAATCCCATTACTGAGTATATACCCAAAGGATTATAAATTATTCTACTGTAAAGACACATGCACAAGTATGTTTACTGCAGCACTATTCACAATTGTAAAGACTTGGAACCAATGCAAATGCCCATCAATGATAGACTGGATAAAGAAAATATGGCACATACACACCATGGAATACTATGCATCCATAAAAAAGAATGAGTTCATGTCCTTTGCAGGGACATGGATGAAACTGGAAACCATCATTCTCAGCAAACTAACACAGGAACAGAAAACCAAAGACCACATGTTCTCACTCATAAGTGGGGGTTGAACAGTGAGAACATATGGGCACAGGGAGGGGAACATCACACACTGGGGCCTGTTGGGGAGTGGGGGGCTAGGGGAGGGATAACATTAGGAGAAATACCTAATGTAGATGACGGGTTGATGGGTGCAGCAGACCACCATGGCACATGTATACCTATGTAATGAACCTGCACGTTCCACACGTGTATGCCAAGAACTTAAAGTATAATAAAAAGAAAAAAGAAAAGAAAAGAATTCCAGGTCAACACAGGCAGTTAATAAAATGTATAGCTATTGTTGCTTATATCCTTATCCTATTTTGTGCTGAATTTGTCTTGCCTAGAGATTACTTCATAAAGCCACTTCACAATATATTGCCAACCAGGAAACAATGTTAAAAATTACTCATGGTGTCATTTCTATAGAATGAACAAAAGTTAAGATTCGATGAGATGTACAAATATTGTCAGGGGAACTGACCTGAATTTTGATTCTGGAAAGTGGATTTGAATAACTGACAATGTACAGTTAAAATCAGAGTGTAAATACCAAGAGATGAAATAGAAGAGATGAATAGCACCACCATAGCGATGATTTTATACCAGACCCACAATAAAGCTAGGTTTGCTTTTAAACCAGCACCTTTGTTTTGTTTGGTTTGGTTTTAAAGAGTAGGTGGTCCCTAAAAGACAGTATGCCTTTGATAAGTGTTTCAAAATGTTTGATGCAGCCTCAATATTTGAATATGTGTCTCATAACATCATGTTGTATACCTTAAATACAAACAATAAATTATTTTAAGTCTATTTCATGTTCACATAAGAGTTCAATGTGCGTGTTCCTGCCAGGTGATTTTGATTTTTTAATAAAAAATTGTCCTGGTTTGCAAAATGCAGTTAAAGCCTCTAAAAAGGAGGACTAAATCTTGCCAAATATAATATCATAAAGACACAATGATATTATCTATCTACCTTTGTTTGTCTTTTCCTTTTTCCTTTCTTTCTTTTTTTTCCCTTCTTTCTTTTTTTTCCTTGTATACTAATTTATAAAAACAAGCTTGAAAAACAGAATAAGATCTGAATATAAACTGTATTTAAGTTCTTGGGAGTAAATAACTTTTCTTACATCTAGATGAATTTTTGTATAATCTAGAGTTATCTCATACTCAACACCCTCTAATAAAATTTATGGTCTCTCTCAAAACTTTATCATTTGCTGGTCACCTCTAGTTCCATGAAGAGTATCATCACATACTCTGTTCCCCTTCTTGGATACCTTTGAATCATGGTTTTTATCATAGACCTACTTCATAATTATTCCACATGTAGATCTAGTGTCATGTGGAATAATCTCTTTCATTCCCAGTACCAGCCTCACCCTCTGCCACCCTTGCCCCAAAAGTTTATGCTCGGCAGTGGATAGTCCACGTACTTTTATGGTTTGGGGGGTCTCAAATAAAAAATTCTGCAACAGATGTTAAAGTATCTTCTTTTAATTATTCCCTAGAATCTCAGTTTAGATTAATTTAGAAAGTCAGCCTCTCCCTCCGGCCACCTGGGAAATCTTCTGTTGTCTTTGTTTCTTGAAGAGCAGTGTGTGTCCTGGAATAGGGTTAATGCTTCATAAATATTTGTTGAAGGACTAAATAAGCCTCCAAGTGTGTCAACTTACCCATGTGCCAAAATGGCTTCACACAAGGTGGTTTCAACTATAAAGTACCTCCAAAAAACACAATGTAAGAATAATTTGTTTAATTACTATGAGAGATTCTAGCTTCACAAGCATGTATCTTTGTAGGAAGTCTAAGGTTTGAGAAACATTAGTGTAGACCAAGTTTTTCTAACAATCAGAGAGAGTCACCAATTATATCTACAATCAGGCAATTTTTTGATATGGTATAAAAAAAACCCATCAATTCCTCCATGTCCTTCAAAAAAAAAATCTATGCCAGGAATGATCAGATAGACATCTACCAGAGATTTGTGTTCTACCCTCCACAGTGTGGAGTTGTTGCTAGGAAGCAGTTGCCCAGCTAGCCCTCCCAGTTGTAGGTGTGACTATGTCATTAGTTGTCACCAGTGGGTAAAGGAGAAAGAGCTACTTTATGTTTAAACTAAGGAGGATAAGGAGTGGCATGCCTTTTCAACTCTAACTTTGCTCATCCACCAGTTGACATGAGGGGACTGTGGGGCTACCAATAAATGGCAAACAAGCTGGAAAGAGCCTGTATCCCTGCATCAACACATAGAGAAAAGTCATTTTCCAACCAGGAACATGCACATTGAACTCTTATGAAATAGGCTTAAAAATTTATTGTTTGTGTTTAAGGTATAGAACATGGTGTTATGATATATATATATGATATATATATGATATATATATGATATGTATATGATATATATATGATATATATGATATATATATGATATATATGATATATATGATATATATATGATATATATGATATATATATGATATATGTGATATATATGATATATATATGATATATATATATCGCAATGATTACTATAGTGAAACAAAGTAACATATTCATCATCTCAAATAGTTATCCAGTTTTCCCTCCTGTGGCAAGAGCAGCTATAATCTACTCATTTAGCAAAAATCCTAAATATAACATACTATTATTAACTATAGTCCTCATGTTATACACTAGATTTTTAGTTCATCCTACATATCTGCTACTTTGTATTCTTTGACCTATATCTCCCCATTTTCTCTCCCTTTATAGATCCTGGTAAACATCATTTTATTCTGTATTTCTGTATATTTGTTTTTCCCTTATATTCCACATATTAATGAGATCATGCAATATTTTTTCTTTCTGTGTCTGTCTTATTTTACTTAGCATAATGTCTTCTAGGTTCATTCATTCTGTGGCAAATGGCAGGATCTCCCCTTTTTTAAAGGCTGAATGATATTTAATTACACACACACACACATACATCATAGTTTCTATATCCATTCATCTGTCTCTAGAAACATAGGTTGTTTCCATATCTTGGTTATTGTAATGTTGCAGTGAACATGGCAGTAGATCTGTCTTCCTGAAATAGACTTTTATTGTGTTAGGTCGCAGAATTTTTGGGGTATATTTGTTACAGCTGCTAATATTTTCCTAACTAGTACACCATCTGGTTTTTATGTATATATATTGACTCTGTAACAATATTTCATGTTCCTCACTATCTGGCAATGTATCTCATAAATTTTTGTTTCCACTATAACACTTAATATGGGGTAAGTACATTCTTTTCATTTCATAAGGATCTATGTTTATAAAATTCTGTAAATCAGGTAAGATAATTGAAAGTTGTTTTGAGGGAAACCATCTGTGAAATATCTCTTACTGCCTTCTTAACACATAGAACAGTGGTTTGGTGATAGTCATTAGATTTGATTGTTATTTTTTAATTAATAGAGTTTATTTTCTGGGCCTGGCATGGTGGCTAATGCTTACATTCCCAGCACTTTGGGAGGCCAAGGCAGGCAGATCGCTTGAGCCCAGGAGTTTGAGACTAGCCTGGGCAACATGGCAAAACCCTGTCTCTGCAACCAAATCAAACAAAAAAAAAACACCCTCAAAGAGTTAGCTTGCTGTAGTGGAGTGCTCCTGTGGTCCCAGCTACTCAGGAGGTTGAGGTGAGAGGATCACTTGGGCCCAGGAGGTTGAGGCTACAGTGAGCTGAGATTGTGCCACTGCACTTCAGCCTGGGTGACAGAGTGAGAACGTCTTTAAAAAAAAAAGGACTTTATTTTCTTGAATGAGACCATGTCTCAAAAAAAAGGACTTTATTTTCTTGAGCACTTTTAAATTTACAGAAAAATTGAGCAGAAAGTACAAAGAATTCCCATATACCCTTTTTTCTACCCCTTTCACCTACAGTCTTCCCTATTATAACATCAAACATTAGTATGACATTTGTTATGACCATTGAGCTGATATTGACACATTATAAGTCCAAGCTTACATTAAGTTTCACTCTTTGTGTTGTACATTCTATGGGTTTTGAACGAATGTAAAATGATGTATATCCATCATTATAGTATCATACAGAATAGTTACACTTTCCTAAAAATTCCCTGTGCTCCACCTGTTTATCTGCCCTGTGCATGTCACTTTTAAGCAGAGCTATACTGTGTATACTAATTTTGCATCCTGTTTTTCCAATTAATATTACATAATAAGTATTTTTTAATAGTAGTACAATTTTTTCTTTTTTTTGCTTTTGTTGTTTTTAATGAACACAATAATTGTACATACTTATAGGGTACAGTGTGATATTTCGATATATATATGTAACGATCAAATCAGGGCAAATAGCATATCCATCACCTCAAGCATTTATCATTTCTTCATGTTGGTAACATTCAAAATCTGCTCTTCTTGCTATTTGAAAATACACAATAAATTGTTTTAATTATAGTCACCCTATAGTGGTACAGAATGCTCAACTTATTCCTCTTACCTAGCTGTGCTTTTGTATATATTGACTACCTTTGGATATTTATCTCTTCCTCTCTACACTTCCCTGCCTCTAGTAGCCACTATTCCATTTTCTAATTCTGTGAGATCAGCTTTTCTTAGCTTACTCATGTGAGTGAGAACGAGGTATTTATTTTTCTGTGCCTGGCGTATTTCACTTAACATAATATCCTTCAAGTTCATCCATGCTGTCGCAAATGTCAGAATTTCATTCTTTTTTATGGCTAAATAATATTTCATTGTGTGTGTGTGTGTATGTGTATGTGCGTGTGGCATATTCTTCATACACTCATCTGTTTGTCAGTCACTTAGATTGATTCTGTGTCTTTGCTACTGTGAATAGTGCTGCAGTAAACATGGGAGTGCAGATATCTCTTTAACATTACTGATTTCCTTTCCTTTGGATATATACCCAGTAGTGGGATTGCTGGATCATATGGTAGTTCTACTTTTAGTTTTTGAGAAACCTTCATGTTGTTTTGCATAATGGGTATACTAATTAACATTCCTACTAACAGTGTATAAGAGTTCTTCTTTCTCTGTATTCTTGCCAGTGTTTGATATTTTTTGTCTTTTTGATAAGAGTCATCCAAACTGGGATGAGATGATATCTGATTTTAGTTTTGATTTGCATTTTCCTTATGATGACTGATACTGAGTATTTTTTCATATACATATTTGTCATTTGTATGTCTTCTTTTGAGAGATGTCGATTTAGCTCATCTGCCCATTTTAAAAATCAGATTATTTGATTTTTTTGTTGTTGTTGAGTTGTTTGAGTTTCTTGTGTATTCTGGATATTAATTCCTTGTTGGATGAATAGTTTGCAAATGTTTTCTGTTCAGGTTTTCTATTTCTTCCCAATTCAATAATTGTACGTTGTATGTGTCCAGGAAGTTATCCATTTCTACTAGGTTTTCTAATTTGTTGTAGTATAGTTGTTCATAATAGTTCCTAATAATCCCTCCTATTTCTGTGGTACATGTAGAAATTTCTTCTTTTCATTTCTGATTTTATTTATTTGGATCTTTTTTTTCTTGGTTAGCCTAGCTAATGGTTTGCCAATTTTGTTTGTCTTTTCAGAAAAACACAACTTTTTATTTCACTGATTTTTTTATCTCAATTTTGTTTGTTTCTGTACTGATATTTATTATTATTTTTTCTTCCATTAATTGTAGGTTTGGTTTTCTTTCTTTCTTTCTTTCTTTTTTTTTTTTGCTTTTCTAGTTCCTTGAGATGCATTGTTAGGTTGTTTATTTAAAATCTGTCTAATAGAATGGTTTTGAATAATTTATAATAGAATGACAATATAAACTATTCTATTACAAAGATACAAGCAAGTTTATGTTCATTGCAGCACTATTCACAATAGCAAAGACATGGAATCAACTCAAATGCCCATCAATGATAGATTGGATAAAGAAAAATGTGGTACATGTACACCATGGAATACTATGCAGCCATAAAAAAGAATGAGTTCATGTCCTTTGCAGGGACATGGATGGAGCTGGAAACCATTATCCTTAGCAAACTAATGCAGGAACAAAAAACCAAACACCACATGTTCTCACTTAGAAGTGGGAGCTGAACAATGAGAACACATGTACACAGGGAGGGGAACAACACACATTGGGGTCTGTTGTGGTCGTGGGGGGAAGGAGAGCATCAGGATAAATTGCTAATGCATATGGGGCTTAATACCTAGGTGATAGGTTGATAGGCGCAGCCAACTACCATGGCGCACGTTTACCTACATAACAAACCTGCAGGTCCTGCACCTATATCCTGGAACTTAAAATAAAATAAAATTAAAAAAAATCTTTCTACTTTTTTAATGTTGGTGTTTATTACTATGCACTTCCTTCTTAAAACTGCTTTTGCAGTATTCCATAGGTTTTAGTATGCTGTGTTTCTATTTTCACTTGTTTCAAAGAGTTTTTAATTTATTTCTTAATTTTTTTTATTGACCCATTGATCCATATTGTTTTGCATAATGGCTATACTAATTAACATTCCCATCAACAGCGTATAACAGTGTATCCTTTTGGTCATTCAGTAGTACATTGTTTAATTTCCATGTATTTGTACAATTTCAGAAGTTCCTGTTGTTATTGTCTAATGTTATTCCATTGTGGTTAGAAAAGATAGTATGATTTCAGTTCTTTTAGATTTGTTGAGACTTGTTTCATGACCTAGCTTGTGGTCTTTCCCAGAGAATGTTTCATGTAATGATGAAAAGAATATGTGTTCTGCAGCTGTTAGATGAAATGTTCAATAAATGTTTGATAGGTCCATTTAGTTTAAAGTGCAGTTTAAATTCAATGTTTCTCTGTTGATTTTCTGCCTAGATGATCTGTTCAATGCTGAGAGTAGGGGTATTGAAGTCCCCAACTATTATTGTGTTGGAGTTGATCTCTCTCTTTAGTTCTAATAATATTTGCCTTATACATCTGGGTGCTCCAGTGTTGGGTGCATTTACATATATAATTGTTACATCCTTTGCTATATTGATAATTTTATCATTATATAATGATCTTCTTGGCCTCTTTTTTGCTATTTTTGATGTAAAGTGCATTTTATCTAACATAAGTATAGCTACTCCAGCTTGCTTTTGATATTCATTTGTATAGAATATCTTTTTCCATTTCTTCACTCTCTGTCTATGTGTGTCTCTACAGGTGGAATGTTTTTCTATGCAGTATATAGTTGAGTTTTTTTTAAATCCATTCATTCAGTCCATATCAAAATTTTAGGTGGAGAAACTTAATTCATTTTATTCAAGGTTATTACTGACAAGGAAGGACCTACTCCTGTCATTTTGTTAGTAGCTTTCTGTTTTTTTCTTTTTTTTTGTATAGCTTTTGTGTATTTTTTCCTCTTATTTTGTATCATTGCAGTTTGGTGGTTTTCTGTAGTGATAAGATTTGATTCTTTTCTCTTCTTTGTGTCTGCTGTACTAGTGAATTTCATACTTTTGTGTGTTTTCATGATAGTAATTATATCTCTTTTCTTCTAGACATAGGACTACCTTGAAAATATTTTATAAATTGGTCTAGTGGTGATGAGAGATGATTTCTCTCAGTTTTTGCTTATCTGGGAAAGATGTTATTTCTCCTTCATTTCTGAAAGATAGTGTTGCTAGGTATAGTATTCTTGGCTGGATTTTTTTTTCTCTTCAGCACTTTGAATATGTCACTTCATTCTTTCTTGGCCTGTAAGGTTTATATGGAGAAATCTGGTGTTAGTCTAAAGGAGATTCCCTTATATGTGACTTGATGCTTTTCGCTTACTACTTACAGAATTGTCTTTTTTTCTTTGACTTTTGACAATTTGACTGTAAGCCTTGGGAGGACCTTTTTGGGTTGAATCTGTTTGGGAATCTGTTTGAGCTTCCTGGATCTAGATACCTGTATCTTTCTCCAGACTTCGGAAGGTTTCAGATATTTCATTAATCAGTTTTCTATACCTTTTCCCTACTTTTCTCCTTCTGGTAATGCCATAATACAGAATTTTGTTTGCTTAATGGTGTCCCATGTGTCTTGTAGGCATTCCTCACCCTTTCATTTTTATTTCTTGGACTGGGTAATTTCTAATGACTTATATTCAATTTCAGAGATTGTTCTGTTTAATCATGTCTGCTGTTGAAGCTCTCTATTGTTATATTGTATTTTAAAATTTTATTCCTATTGAATTCTTTATCTGCAGGATTTGTTCCATTCTTTTCTGATTTCTATCTCTGTTGAATTTCTCATTCATATCATAAATAATTTTCCTGATTTTATTGAATTATCTGTTTGTATTTTCTTATATCTCATTTAGTTCCCTCAAGATGATTATTTTTAATTCTTTATCTGGAAATTTATTAATTTCCTTTTTATTGGGGTTCGCTCTTTCTTATTGGGGTCTGTTATGGAATTATGTTCCTTTAGTGGTGTCATATATTTTTGCTTTTTCATGTTTCTTTTGTCCCTGCATTGATGTTTGTATCTGATACCTCTTCCAAAATTTCTACAGTGGCTTTCGTAGAGAAATACTTTCACCTGCAACTGGGTTTTAGTGTACTAGTTAGGAAGGGTATAGGGACTCTGTTTCCAGATAAGTGCAGTCTTCATGCAGCTTCTTCAGCTGTGTTCAACATCAGCAATAATTCTGGGCACTCCAGTCACCTATGCTGTAGAAGTTTGTAGCAGTGGCATAGTTTGTTAATGTCCTCAGTGTCAAGGGCTTTTGAGATCCTCTTATTTTCACATTCCCCACCTCCCCTGAGGAGCCTTAGGCAAGGGGATCCTCTTGGTGTTAGGTCTGACATAGCCTATAAGCAGCTGTACGGCATAGGTTTCCAGGTGCAGGAGCTCAGAGTTGCTGTGGGGCTGGGGTCCTAGTCTCAGGATCTTGTAAACCTCTTGTGGCACCTGGGTCTTGGGGTACAGAATTGCTTTCTGTAGCAGAGTTGAATGTAGAATTGGGGTACAGAATTGCTTTCTGTAGCAGAGTTGAATGTAGAATTGGGGTACAGAATTGCTTTCTGTAGCAGAGTTGCCCACAGAACCAGGATCTGTGACTCTGAGGCACTTCCTAGTAGCTTGGGCTTGTGGGGGCTGGTTGTAGCTATGATTCTACCCCTGGGGGGCCAAGGCACAGTACTGGCCCAACTTTGAGGAAGAAGGAGTGCTCTGGAGATTTGAGCCTGGGGAACAGAATACAGCTGCAATTTGGGAACCTTAGCCAATAGGGCTCTGTGACAACTGATGTCCTAGCAGATAAATCACTTTGTAGTAGTGTCTCTAGACTCCAGGATGATGGGGCTCAGCACTATCCCAGACTCTGTTAGGCCCAGTACAGTGGCAGCAAGTACCCCAGAATGGCAGGTAGCTGTTGAGAGGGTTCTGCAGCGGTTGGAGGGGAAGGACAGCACAGTAATGACTCCACTGTCCAGTGAGAGGAGTATCTCAGCAGCTCAGACTCTAGGGAGGTAGTCCAGCTCCAGGGAAGCAGGGTAATTAGAGTTGTTTGGCCAGTAGGGATATAGGGTGGGGTGTCTCAGCTTAGCCATTGTCCTGTTTTCCTGGGATAAGTGTACTACATCAGCTCAGCCCTGGGATGTGCAGCTGATTAGCTCAGCCAGGGCACCAATTTTCCCAGGACAATGTGCTGCTTTGGCTCAGGTCATACTGTGTGACTGTTCTGAGTGATCCAAGCACCATTTCCTGGGATGCAGGACATTGCTGCAAGTAAGGTACCATGGAGGCAAAATTGTTCTGAGCAGCCAAGGTGCTATTTTTCCAGAAGGCTGCATACCACTTCAGCTTTGGCCTGAGTAGATAGAGCAGGAGTAGGTAAAGCAGCTCCATCTCTACTTGGCCCCACAGGGAAGTGTGTAACAGCTGCTTTCAGCTCTGATTAGGGATATTGGGCCGCTAGGCTGAGGTGGCTCAGTGGTGGCTTAGGCTCAGGGATGAAGTGGCTACTCTCCCCTAGCACAAGACACTCCAGCTGTAGTTCCACTTCCAAAATGGCATAGCACTGTAGCTGCGCTGGCCATGGGGTGGAGCACAGTGCCGGCTCCTTCTCCGGGGGGATTACAGCTATGTGAACTCCAGGCAGCTCCCTTAGCTGGGCTTAGTGCTTGTGAGGACTGCAGGGGACCCCAGTGTAATGACTGCAGGTGTCCAAGGTGTTAATGGGGGTTGCTGAAATCCTCTTGTTTACCTCCTTGAGAGGGGGAGAAGTTCCTCCTGGTTCCCAGCTGATTCTTTCTGGGAGATGGGGTTGTGGGGTCCTGGTGTTTTCTGCTGTTCCCTATGTGGCCCTCCTGGGATTTTGTGCTCACCAGGGTTCTGTTACTCCTCTGATGCATGCAGTAGGACTCGAGGCTTCTAGTCAGCCATCTTGCTGATGTCACTCATTGTTTTCTTCATTTTTTTTTTAAAAATGTAATTTTGAACTATATTGAAGAATTTTCGGCTCAATCTTTCAGTTTATAAAACAGTTCTTGAAGGCCTTACTTCATATCTCCCAATGTAGAAGTAACTAGCCTCTCCTTTATGCTTGTAAAGACATTTGTTTTAGTAACTGCAGCCTTGCATTGCTCTTAGTTACTTGTATATCTATCTCCCTCCAATGTGCCATAAGCTCTTTGAAATCAGGAACCATGTCATGTGCATTTTAAAAATATCAACAGCCTAAAAATTTAATGAGATAAATTTTGGCTCAAGGTGTGCACTGTCTTTCAATTACTAGTAAGTAAAAAATAGATGCTTTGGTTCTTAGCTTTGTGTGTTGCTCTGTCTTTCTAAACTAAAGCCTCTGAAGCAAAATGTCATTTGTTATCAAGAAGAAAATGTCAAAAAAATCAAAACATTGCCATATGTGAATCTGGAAAGTAATAATGTTTTAAAACAAAAGTGCTAAACTTCAGAGGTACTGTTTCTAGAAATGTACTCATAAATAAAAGAAGATGAGCAAGACATTTGTATACTAAAACAGCCTGCTAGTATATTATGTATTAATTCTCAGTATTTTAATTTATTTTTCCTTTTAGGGTTTTTGGAGAGGAAGAATGATAAAATAGAAAGAATGTGGCTAGGTGGTGAGTCTTGGTTCTGACTACATATTATTGGATAAATCAGTCATTTAATCTTTCTGGGCATGAGTCAGCTTCTTTTCTGCAAAATGGGATTGTTGTGTCATGCATTCTAATTTTATGGTTTCATAACTAATTTTGAAAACAGGATGATTAAAAAATCAAGTTCATGTAAAACGTTTTATTAAATAATTATTTTATTCAGATATATTAATTTTAAAAGGCTTATTGCATTTTAAATGTTCACCATTTTAATCTTGTGATTTACTTTCCTTTCTCGTTTTTCAATTACTAATCTTTTAAATAATGTAATTTTAAAATTTATTTTGATTTGATTAAAAAATACATAAAAGTACAAAGAAGAAAATATAAGTCACTTAAAGTTTCTTCATCCAAAGAAAGAAACCACTGTTCATATTTTGCCATAGATCCTTCCAGTGTTTGTATTGTATACATTTAAACAATCAGGATTATGCTATATATAAATATTTTCTTTCTTTCTTTTATTGTTTTTTTTTTGATCTTAACATTATCTTTAGAGCATTTTCCCTTGTCATTGATTTGATATTCCTTTGTGTGGAATATCCAGAATTTAACCATTTTCTTTTTATAGTTTAGTTATTTAGTTATTTCTACATTTCTAGTTAGAAAAAAAGGAGGGGGTATAGACTTCATTCTCATCATCCCCTGTTTATAAAGGCTGATTATGGACTATAATAAAGTGTACTTCAAATAGAAAGCATAAAATTCTGTACTCTTAAATTAGTTTGCTATGCATGAGAAATCAGGTTGACATTTGTCATCATCTAATAACTTACATGTACTCTCAATTTAGAGTTCCTTAATTATTAGTAAAGCAAGATAAACTAGAAAAATCAAGTAGCATGAGGAGAGAACATTTATGAATCAGAAAGTGTTTCTAGAAACCTTAAATAAGAGATTAGAATGGTTTATGTTCTGTTTTTAAAGAAGTTATTAATCCAAGTGCTACAGAGTCAAGCTAAGTAATGATAAATCCATTATATAATTTTCTTTTTATAGCACATAGTCATTATATTTAGTCACAAATATCTTTATATTACTTACTAAATAATTGTGGATAATGATGGATAAAAGGAGTCATTTGTAAAAAGTGTCTTTGTGTTCATATTTCCTGCGAGTGAAGATTTTATTATTTAAATTAAAAAACTGTAAATTTCCAAATATTGTTCTGGAAAAAAAGGCCTTGTGAGTGAACAGTTATTTAAAAAGGTTGAATACTCTGGGGAACCAGTGTCATGGTTTGATGAAAGGGCGTGGATCCAGACCTTGGAAAGCCTACTTTCTAATCTTAGGCTTATACCTATTTAGATTTTGTTCATAAGTTATTAAATCTACTTATACTTCAGGTTCTGGCATGCAATTTGAGAGCATAACCACGAAAGTCCCATTTAGGTCTAAAATTTTACAGATCTCTAATTCTCTTTTTCTAAGTTGAATGAACAGAAACAGGTTGTTTCAGAAAAAAATGGGTTAAGAAATATGATACATTGATTGCAAAAATGGCCCCTATTCTCCTTCCCTCTCTTTATTTATACCCATTGTAATATGACTTTGAACTTCTTCCATCAAGAGGCAGAGTCTATTTCCCTACCCCTTGAATCTGAGTTGCCCTTAGAACTTGCTTTAGTCAATATAATGTGCAGAAGTAAAGCTGTGCCCAGTTGATAGGCCTCTAGAGGCCTTTTGTGCCTTTGCTTCCTCTCACTAAACTTTGCCACTCCCTTGAGAATCAGTCTGTCGGAGGATGAGAGACCACAATAGCAGTGCTGAGACAGCCTTTTTGTTGCAGCCAAAGCTTTAAAGCTAGCCGAGATCAGCAATGTTAACCCAACCAGGCTTGCCTCTGACCAAAGCAACATGAGTGAGCCTAGCTGGAACCAACAGAACCATCCAATCACCAGCAGAACCATCCAATCACCAGCAGAACCATCCAATCACCAGCAGAACCTTGAACAAAATAAATGCTTATGTAGTTTTTCATTATGCAGCATCATTGTGGCAAATAGACAGCTGATACATACATCTTTAGAGTACTTTGACATATCTTGAGTTTGCTCCTACCCTTTAAAAAAATAGTTGTTTTTTTTTTATTTTTAGTTGACAAGTAATAAGTGTATATATTTATTGCCCTTCCTCTTGAGTATTCAGATAGGGTTGTTATTTTCTTCTACCAGTACAATATCACACCTGAAGGCATTTGATTCTGAGGGCATTACACAAGAAATGTGTTTGTGATTGAATTGGTCATTTCTTTCCATCTGTCACATCAGAGATGCTCCTTACATGTTTCCTATCTTGTTGGATCCAGTACCACAACTCTCCCAGGTTGCCAACCAGAAAAAAACCTTAGAGGCATGCTTAATATTTCTTCTTCTCCATTTCCTCCCTGCCCTTTCTGCACTGTGGCTGTCTTACTTGAAGCCTTTAGTATCTTACTTCAGAAAAGTTATATTCATTAACTTCCTAGCTAATCTCTCAGTATAAGCCCCCCCAGAAGCTAAGTGCGGGAAACTGGTGAAAATAAGAGCGTAGGGTCTCAAACATTTCATAGAAAAAATAAATCAATCTTGTTGGAAACTTGATTTAACTATCAAAAGTACCCATTAGCTGTGTACAATATAAAGCAGAGGTCATGGTTTGTTTTTTCTTTTTCAACTTTTATTATTTAAGAATCAGGAAGTACATGTGCAGAATTGTTACAAAGGGATATTGCATGATGCTGAGGTTTGGGGTGTGACTGAACCTGTCACCCTTGAAGTGAGCATAGTACCCAATAGGTCATTTTTTAGCCCTTACCCTTCTCCCTCTCCCCGACCTCTGGTAGTCCCCAGTGTCTATTGTTCCCATCTTTATGTCTGTGTGTACCCAATGATTAGCTCCCACTTATAAGTGAGAACATGTGGCATTTGGTTTTCTGTTCTATGTTAGTTCGCTTAGGATAATGGCTTCCAGTTGCATCCATGTTGTGCAAAGGACATGATTTTATTCTTTTTCATGGTTGTGTAGTATTCCATTATGTATGTGTATCACATTTTCTTTATGCAGTCCTCATCACTGATGGGTACCTAAGTTGATTCCATGTCTTTGCTATTGTGAATAGTCCTGTGATGAATATATGGGTGTAGATGTCCTTTTGGTAGAATGATTTCTTTTCCTTAGGATATATACCCAGTACTGGGATCATTGGTTCAAATGGTAGTTCAACTCTTAGTTATCTGAGAAATCTCCAAACTGCTCTCCACAGTGGCTGAACTAATTTACATTCCCACCAACAGTGTGTAAGTGTCCCCTTTTCTCTACAGCCTTGCCTACATCTGTTATTTTTTGACTTTGAACAAAAACCATTCTGGCTGGTGTGAGATGGTATCTCATTATGGTTTTGATTTGCATTTCTCTAATGACTAGTGATGATGAGCATTTTTTTATATGTTTGTTGGCTGCTGGTATGCCTTCCTTTGAGAAGAGTCCATTTATATCCTTTGCCCACTTTTTAAAGTGGTTATTTGTGTTTTGCTTGTTGATTTCCTAAAGTTCCTCACAGATTCTGGATATTAGACCTTTGTTGGATGTACAGTTTGCAAATATTTTCTCCCATTCTGTAAATTATCTGTTTACTCTGTTGATAACTTCTTTTGCTGTGCAGAAACTTTCAGTTTAATTAAATCCCACTTGTCAAGTTTTGTTTTTGTTGCAACTACTTTTGAGGTCTTAGCCATAAATTCTTTGCCAAGACCATTATCGAGAAGAATATTTCCTAGGTTTTCTTCTAGGATTTTTATAGTTGGAGGTTTTTCATTTAAGTCTTTAACCCAAAAACCAGGCATGATGGCTCACGCCTGTAATCTCAGCACTTTGGGAGGCTGAGGCGGGCGGATCACTTTGAGGTCAGGAGTTCGAGACAAGCCTGGCCAACATGATGAAACCCAGTCTCTACTAAGAATACAAAAATTAGTGGGGCATGGTGGTGTGTGCCTGTAATCCCAGCTACTCGGGAGGCTGAGGCAGGAGAATCGCTTGAACCTGGGTCGGGGAGATTGCAGTGAGTCGGGGCGCCACTGCATTCCAGCCTGGGCAACAGAGAAAGACTCCATCTCAAAATAATAATAATAATAATAATAATAATTAATAATAAATCTTTAACCCATCTTGAGTTGATTTTTGTATATGGTGATGGGTAGGGCTGTGGTTTCATTCTTCTGTACATGGAGAGCCAGTTATCCCAGCACCATTTGTTGAATAGGGAATCTTTTCCCTATTGCTTATTTTTGCTGAGTTTGTAAAAGATCAGATGATTGTAGGTGTGTACCTTTATTTCTGTGTTCTCTTTTCTGTTCCATTGGTCTATATGTCTGTTTTTGTACCAGTACCATGCTGTTTGGGTTATTGTAGTCTTGTATATAGTTTGAAGTTGGGTAATACAATGCCTTTAGTTGTTTTTACTTAGGATTGTTTTGGCCATTCAGGCTCTTTTTATTTGGGTTTTATATGAATTTTAGAATAGTTTTTTTAGTTCTATGAAAAATGACATTGGTAGCTTGATAGGAGTCTGCAGATTGTTTTGGGCAGTATGGCCATTTTAACCCTATTGATTCTTCCAGTCAATGAGCATAGAATATTTTTCCATTTATTTGTGTCATCTCTGATTCCTTCCAGCAGTGCTTTGTAGTTGTCCTCATAGGGATCTTTCACCTCCTTTGTTAGATATTTTATTCAGTCTGCAATAACAGAAAAATATTTAAAATCTCAGCAGTAAAGAGAAACCAGCCATTACCACATCTATACAATTTGCTTCATTAAAATATTATTTCCTTCAGTGAACTTAACCACTTGTTGGGAAATTGTATGAACAAATTAATTAATCATGGCACTGAAATTGCCTACTAAAACTGTTTATTTAGTTTCAGTTTTAATTTTTTTAGAGACAGGGTCTTACTCTGTCACCTAGGCTGGAGTACAGTGGTATGATCATAGCTCTCTGAAGTCTTGAATTCCTGAGCTAAAGAGATCCTCCTGCCTTAGTGTCCTAAGTAGCTGAGATTACAGGCACATACATGTCTGGCAAATTTTTAAATTTTTTATAGAAATCTGTTCTCCAATTCCTGGCTTCAAGTGGTCCTTCTTTCTCAGCCTTCTAGTTTTTGGGATTATAGGCATAAGCCACCACTCCTGGCCTCTAGTTGTTGTTGTTGTTATTGTCATTGTTTTTAAATAATGTGTTTGTTTATCATCCTAGTACCTGGCATATCAAGGCACTCAGTAAATATTTGTTGTTGTTTTGCTTCCTTTTAATCATTACTGCTTATTGTCTGATTTTCTCAAGTATGGTGGAATGACATAATGCTGCATTGAATTCCATAATTTAAGTTCCATAAATATTTTCACATACTTATGTTTGTAATCAAGGCATGAGGTGTTTACACTGATAAATGGCTTCTCTTTACATCAGAACTAGAAACAGTCACTGTATTTTATGGTTCCATGAAAAGTACACTTCTGTGTATGCACATCAGCCTTTATTTTCAAAGACTGGAAGAGCTACAGAATGAAAGAGGGTCTGTGATTGTTAAGACAGATGATGGGCTTATAGCAGGAGTAAAAAGGATTTTGTGGCTGACACCTAATTTTAGGTGAAGATAAAAAAGATGAAAAGAAAATCTACCTACTGATGAGAAGAGGCGTCTGGGGCCTTTCTGATTATCATTAGAGCTTTGACCAGATGTAGCAGTCTTAGTGGGAAAGAGTCCTCTGTTGAGGGGTTCCAGAATCTGATGCCATCAGGACCAGCTGGAGAGCACCCCAATCAAAACCAACACATTCTCCAGCCTGACCCTGTCATGGGGTCTAGTTGTTTGTATTCTTAAAAACTGACCAGATGATTCTAATAGCCAGACATATCTGGGGTTGAATGTAGGATACAGTAGATACAATCTTTTTCTTCCTTTCTTTCGCCTCCCCCCCTACCTTTTTTTTTTTTCGAGTACTGCTCATTTCTCTATTTATAAAGCCTCTGGATAAAGATTTTTGAACTAAAGATGTTAAAATGTACATTAGAAAATGGGGTGGAAGTCAGGTAAATTTTTATGCCCTGAAAATGGAAGTTTTTTTTTTTTTGGTTAAGAAATATAGGCCCCCAGTTATGATAAATTTTTATTATAAATCTTTAGAACCAACACTTCTATATTTAACCAGAAAAAAAATCATTTATTTTGGGTGATCATAATTTTGATTTCCTTTATTTTGGCATCTGGACATATTTTTAATAACAGTAGATGTGAAAATGCCATTACAAAAGTATTATGCTTATCATTTCAAAAGGTTTATTTGCAGTGCTATGTTGTTTATTTTGTACTGAAAGTTAAAAACTCCCTTTTTTGCCAGTAAGCTATCAGTTGTGACAGTTGACTGAAAAAGGGGAGAATTCTTGAAAGGGAAGAAAAATTATGAATCCTTTCTGGGAATACTTGGTCAGAAAACAAGTTCTGAAGACTCAATAATTTCTATAGGGATAGAGGGGTGTTTTGTTTTGTTTGACAATGTTTTGTCAAAACATTGGCTACCTTCATTAAAAAAAAAAGAAATCAACTGCCGAAGTTTCTGCTAAAACCACTGAGAGCTGTCAAGAATCAACCAGATGGCAGCTTACCTGCCCTGATGAAACTGAAAAATTAAAACAACATGTGAGTGGGAACACACGCATAAAAAGAGCTTTTAAACATGCCTGTTTCTACTTGAGCACTTTTAAAAGGAGTAAATATATGCAGGGCCACAGCCTAAGTTTAATGCATCTTTTAGTGATGTTTTGAAACAAGAATAAATTCCCCAAAGGTAACCCAGTGGATAAATTAAGAATAAAAAATAGACTTTGATCTTTGGTATGAAGCTGAGTTTCAGTTATTCAGCAAATGCTTCTCTAATGACAAGCTACTTTATACCACACTGACAGATATAGAATATTATGCAGTTGCTATTATGATTGATACAGAACAGTTTTGTTTCTTGAAATTTATTTTTATTCATTTAGTTAACACATTTGAATATTCTTTGTATGATAGGTGCAAGAGGTGCAAGAACAGATAGTTTCCTGCCCTCATTAACCCTTAAGTTTAGGTCAGGGGGCAGCAAGCTATGGCCCATGGGCCAAATCTGGCCTGTCACCTGTTTTAGTAAATAAAGTTTTATTGGGGCACAGCCATGCTTATTTGTTTACATGTTGTCTAAGGTTGCTTTCACATTGCAGTGGCAGAGTGAGTAGCTGGGACAAAGACTGTGGTCTTCAAAGCCTAAAATACTTACTGTCTGACCCTTTACAGGAAAAATTCGCAGACTCTGATCTAGGTTCATTCTGAGGTTGTGTGTCTAAGATGGAGAAAGTAAAGAACAGACACAAAACAGCAAGCCCATACACTTAAAAAAAAATCACCGTATCATACATATAGTAAATACTAAAAAATACTTGGATAGAAAATATCTCTTGCTGACTAGCTCATATATTTACAAAATCATGTTAGTAAGCCTAAGGGTATGTACTTGATCCTCTAGTGGTACAGTAATCTCTCTAGTGATTACAATGTAGTCTATAAATGCAGACAACCAACAGTACTGTGGCGTTATGCTGCAAATTCATGGTGTTCATTATAAAGGGAACAGGTTGAAGGAATGTGACATAATACAAAATTTTCAGCATGGCAGAACAGTAACTTAAAGTATATCCATTTCTAATGGGTTCATATTGTCTTTTTTGGGTTAGACTGAGAAAGAAGTGTTGGGAAAGAGTGATCACAGATAAGAAAGAGACTACAACCAAAATGGCAGCACCTCTAAGATAGTCTTTGTGCCCAGTGTGGGTGGCTGATGTCCCAGCCAGATCACTATCCCCTTGGAAGCTGTTTTAGTTAAGAAAATTCAAGATTCTCATCTTATGTGATAGAATTCAGGGACAGACGTGCAATGCCACAGTGCCAGTTCTGTGTTACTAAACTGCTAGTTTAAGAATCTCCAGAATTGTCCCTATAACTTTCGAGCCATGTGGGGAAGACTTCCTTCTAACTGTGGGCTGTGAAGTAGAGGGATCTCCAGGGAAAATGTGGGACTTTATGTGAATTCCTTGTTTACCTAAGATGATAAATCCATCACGATCTTTATGCTACCATGCGGAAGCCCACCAACTGTGTAAGGACATGGAGGAGGAGACTAGCTTTTTATTATAACTTTCGACTAGTGGAAGGATGCCGGGGTTCTCCAAGCCTCCTGAAATAGGGGCTAAATGTCTTCCTTACATCACCGATAGACGCTAAGCTTACTGCATGTGCAAAGTGCCTAACAATTGTTTGCAAAGTGACTGGGAAAAGTGGCCTCAGTGGCAATGCGTTGGGTTGAGAGAGAAAGTGAGAATGAACAACTCTTAATTTCATTAAATTACCGAAGTATGCAATCTCATTTTCTTCAATTAAATTAGTTTCACTTGTTCATAATTTGCTTTATAATATCATACTTAGTAAAACATACAAATTGTCTGGCTTTTAGTAAATAGGGATGACCAATTCAAGTAAATAACTTCATTTAACGCAGGAAAAATCCAGTCAATACAAGCAAAAAGTAGAGAGAGAGAGAGAGAGAGATAATATCCCAGTAGTGCAAATTTATTTAAAATGATGAAGCTTAGTGGATTGGGCAGACTATCTGGTTTCAAGACTTTGGCCTTCTCTCTGGGCATTGTGAGCTTATTGCTGTATCACTCTAAATTAGCTTCTTGCCTTTGCTTTATATTGAATTTTTTTTCTTAACTAAACCAAACATCCCACTTGACTAAATATATAGTTCTATTTTCTTCTACTTAAAAAAAAGAAACTAGGGTTTTGGGAAATTCAGTTTCTTTCTTAGAAAATATCTCTATAATAATATCAGTCCTATTTAACAGATAGTTGTGAACTACAAATGTAGGCTGATGTATATAAAAATGAAAAGCTGTCACCCCCCGACCCCCTCTTCTTACAAGCTTATTCTTATTGGTGGTTCCTTCTAGTTCTTATGTTCTTCAGCTATCTGTCTAATTTGGTTAAGCAGACAACTAAGGAGGTCTCAGCTTTTCATTGCTGCTGGGATCAGGGGGAAGGGCATTTTTTTTTGATACTATTTTCCTTTTTTATCCTTTTTAAATAAAATAGAAATTTTTATAATATTTAACTAGGGTTCTCATGAGGATTGAATAACACCATGTGTATAAAACACTTAGTGGCAAGTCTTGTACTTACTATTAAATAAATTATAGGTATTATAATTCAAAGTCTGAAATAAAATGTGGCAAACATTTTCTTACATAGTGATTGTGAAATGAGGGGTGTGATCCTTGCCAGAAATCAGAGTTTATGGATTTAAATCTCAATATGAGATTTAAAATATTTAATTCAGGGGAATCCAGACTGATTTTCCATGCAGGGATAATTTCTGTTTCTCTAAAGCGTCAGATTCCCTGGTATGGTAGGCTGCTTTGTCCTGAGTATCAGAGATAAACGAAAAGGAAATGGAAAGCCCTCATCTTCCTAGGAGAGTGTGGACTCCTATGTCATAACTATTTAAGATGCCTTTTATGTTACATCCAGGACCAGATAAGAGACATGATGATAAAGACCAGGAGAAACTAAGGATTGCTATTGTAATATATATGTGTATTGTGAATTCAAATAAATATATATATAAAGGTGATATGACATAGGTTGGGGAGAGGCAAATTATTCACTTAGTCACTACAATTTGATTTGATGACAGTGGAGTTGGGTGAGTGGTATCATTAGGGAGCTTTCTATTAAAAAAAAGAATGAGGATGTATAGTTGAGCATGATGGAATACTTATTGTGTTATGTGCTTCATAAGTAGGTTATTTCATGTGAACCTCACAACAACCACATGAGATGGCTATTGTTACTCCACCTCAGAGATGAATAATTGCAAGAGGATAAACAATTTGTCTGAGACCACAGGGCAAGTAAATTGCAGGGTTGGGATTAAAATTCAGTCTTTAGACCTCTAAGGTCCATGCCCTTTTATTTATTTATTTATTTAATTATAAAATATTGCCTTCCTTTAAAATAGGATGTTTAGACAAAAAGAAGGAAACACAGATAAAGAATATCCAGTTGCTAAAATACTTGAGATTATGAGATTGAGAAACAGCCTTGAAGAAGAACTCAAAACTTCAGGCCCCAAGAAAGTGAAAGTGGAGGCTGAGCCATATTAACCAAAGTTGAAATGGGTGATTGGGAAGTCAGCCAGAGCCACTGTGCCTTTTACCCTTCTTCCTACTGCGTTTGACATGTCTCTGCTTTAAAGTGATGTGGTTGGGAGACAGTATAATGTAGTGGAAGAAGCCCAGGTTCAATAGCCTTCGGCTGAAATCTCAGCTTTGCAATTGTTGGCTCTGTGACATTAGGCAAATCACTCAGTTTTTTTTAATCTGTCAAATAATCTCTGAAAAGAAAAACTATCCAAACAGCCTAGTATAATTATAATACTAATTACATGTAAACTAGAAAAAACCCCGCTTCTCACAGTTAAATTAATTCCTTCCCCACTTCTGCCCCCAGTATTATCTTTTGTCCAGGGAAACAGACTGTGAGATGGGAATTACGGTGCAGCACATTTACTGGGGAGTGCTCTCAGGAACACCTATAAAGGACGAGGGAAGTGGGGTGGATGGTGGGAGAAGATGACCTGGGATGCATTTGCAATATAAGTCTCAGTTGATCCCACAGGTCATTCCGAGGCTGGAATTTGCATTTCAGAAGTGTCCTGAATTGCAGCTGTCTCTGGGGAAGGGACACGAGTTTGATAGAGACACCCTCATTTTGCCAAGGACCATTCCCTGAAAGAGATTCAGCTGTGAGCTGTTAGCAGGCAACACCCTTGGTGTCTGCGGGAGTGAAGTGGAGCTCTGGACAGCACAACTCAGCATCCTCCAAATCTTTATTGTCCTAGATATAGCTAGCTAAGATTATCCATTTGCATCCTTAACTGTCTCTTCCTTTTGTTTCTTCCTTCTCCTACCCCAGTCCTTCAATATAGGGGACTGAGGATTCACATTTGCTGAGGGTTTATTGTGTACCTGGCACTGTGGTAGGTATGTCACATACATAATCTTATTTAACCCTTAAAACAGTTCTAAGAAATAGGAGGAAAGTGAAGTTTATAGAGTAACTTGCCCAAACTGACAAGGTCCAGGACCAGGTGTGGAAGGCAAAGCAGTTTATGTACCCCTGCACATATGCTTACATCTCTTCACTGCCTCCACCAAATCTATTCTTCTTATAGTTTCTAATGTTGCTATTTCTAGTATTCCTTCAGTAGATATCTCTAAAATATGCTATGCTACACAGCTTTTTGGAAATGTGTTTATTTTATTTTAAAATATCTATATTATCCCTTTAATATATTGTGTTTAATTTGCAGGGAGTTACACAACTTAAAATCTGGCAATCATCAAGGATCTATAAATATAAAGGTGAAGACAAAATAATTCTGTCATGTTCATAGGCAGCTTGCTAATTTCATTTTGAAACTCTTTATTAAAAATCCTTACAATATAATAAAAACATATCTTCAGATGGGGATCAGTTTTTCAGGACTCCACATAATGGGTCATCAAGTTCTATCCCCTCAACATTTTCTAGTGACTTGGTAATTCTTAAAAGCAAGAACACAATCAAAGAGGCTCATTTGATTACAGTAAATTGGGAAGAGATTTTTTGTTTTTTGTTTTAATGAGGATAACAAAGTGATGTCAACTTAGTAACAGATAACAAGTATCTTCCCTGTTGGATTTTTTTTCCCCTGTGAGTTTTGACAATAGTTCCCAGCCCAAATTGATGACATTTCTTCTTCTTCTTCTTCTTCTTCTTCTTCTTCTTCTTCTTCTTCTTCTTCTTCTTCTTCTTCTTCTTCTTCTTCTTCTTCTTCCTCTTCCTCTTCCTCTTCCTCTTCTTCTTCTTCTTCTTCTCCTCCTCCTCCTCCTCCTCCTCCTCCTTCTTCTTCCTCTTCTTTTCTTTCCTCCTTCCTCTTCCTCCTCTTCCTCCTTCTTTGTCTTCTTCTTTTCTTTTAAAAGTGCCAAAAGAGGAAAATGTTTCTTGGTCGAATTCTTTCTCTGTATCCTACAGAGTTGTTGGCAGTTTAATGAATTTAAACCAATTTCCAGTTCTTTCCTTACTTCCACTGAAATCTTTAAGACATTTCTGAAAAATTTTTGTGTGTCAGTCCCACATATCATCTCTAAAATATATTACTGTGAATCAAATTTCCATATGAGTCACTTTTTCCCCTATTGTAAATAGTAATGTAATTCATTAGTTTTTTTTCAGCCACTAAATTTCCACATCCTGGAAGCTACTGATTTTCTATGGTAATCTGTCACATTGACAAATCTTGCTATTATAAGGATACCTCTAAAGAATGTTGAAAAAATCATATTGCTTCCTTGCCTTCACAGAAGGTGATTTTCCTATGTTTTATATTTCCTTAAAAAGTATGCATTTAAGAAACAAAATTCACCGCTCAAAGTCAAAGTCATGATGTTCAACAGAGAAATGTGGTAAAGCACTGGGCAAAGTACATGACTAATATACCACTCTTTCCTTCCATTCTAGGACAAATGGTAGAAGTGAAGATTTGTTTCTGACCCTCAGTATTTGTCTTAATATTTGATTTTGCTTTCTTAGGTAGTTCACCCTTGCTCCGCACACTCTGAGCTTTACTCGTGGACAGTCATTCTCATGGATCCTTCTCTACTAAAGTTTCCAAAGGTTTAATTCATACAGACTGGCCTCCTAATATTATAGCAATATAACTTCTAGAAGGCTTTCTTGGTTTTTAAAAAGTGCCATCTTCTTCTCCATTCTTTTATTTTGTTGCAAACCAATAGTATTTTTTCAGTACCTTATTGGTTAAGCATTTTCCATCAGTGCCTAAAAAAGAGAAAGTGTTTTTGAGTTTTGACCACCCTGATTAGTAAAAACATTAAAGCACAAAAAGATTCAAAGTTTGTATGCTTTAAAGATCAAGTAATTAAAAAATACTCTTTGTTCTTAGTTTTATGTGTAGGAAAATGTTGAGGTTAATTATCTGGCCATGTGGGATAATTTGACTCTTAATCAGTAAATTTAAAAGATCTTTCATAACATAAAAAAGATCCAGCTCTGCCAAGGACAAATGACTGGCACTGAAATTCCGTTGTTAGCTTAAGTCATTGATATGTAAAACAAAAGAAAATTCTTTGGCAGAAAACAGAGGAATGTCCAGATGGTTTCTATCTATTTTCCCATTGATTGTATAATTAAAATCCCCTTTAATCATCAGAAAAATTGAGATAGAATGTTTGTAATAGAACAGTACTCTGTTTTAAAGAAATACTTTTTTGGTGGTAGGTTCACTAGTAGTGAAGTATTTTGTGAATGTGCTCTATGGAGAAAAGATATCCAGATAGCTCATTTGGGGATGTAACTGCCTATTTGCAGCATTATGTTGGTTGTGCCAGATGAGACTAAATGCTAGCCCATTAAAATGAATATAAATTAGTAATGATCTCCTGCCTTCAGGTGGTATTTCCCTTTACCTGAAGCAGGATTTGCACCTTCAATGGATTCATAGGTAGGCTGGTTCATTTAGAGGTTAATTACTAAGGAAAGCACCAATAAACTAATTAGTAAACTTCTAATTCATATCCTCAGTGATTATAGGACAGAATTTGTTTTCCCAGGAAACTCAGACCTGGTTTTGCTAACCTTTTCATATCCTGTGAAATGATGCATCTGTTGACATTGGTCAGTAGTAGAAATACATTCCCATGTGTTTCTGCTAAATTCCATCCACTGATCACTAGACAGTTACTGCTTTATGCATATGGAAAGTACATGTAAATCCATGGTTATAGTATTTTTAAGTTGAATGACTACTTAGAACCTTGCATAACATTATCTATATCTATGTGTCCATATCTATATATCTATGTCTATCTCTATATTTCTATGTTTATCTGTATCTCCTTGGTTTATAAATGATGTCAGTAATGATTTTAAAATGGGAAACAGAAAAATAAACAAAAACAAATATTCTAGTGCCTGATCCACCATCTCTGGGATATTTTTCTTATTTTTCATTATTTTTACTTAATGGTTATTTTCTAGCACTCTAGGAGGCCGAGGTGGGTGAATCACTTGAGTCCAGGAGTTCCAGACCAGCCTGGGCAACATGGCGTACTCCATCTCTACAAAAAAATACTAAAAATTAGCTGGGCATGGTGGCATATGCCTGTGGTCCCAGCTCGCTGGGAGGCTGAGGTGGGAGGATCGCTTGAGCCCAGGAGGTGGAGATTGTGGTGAGCTGAGATTGAGCCACTGCACTCTGGCCTGGGTGATAGAGAGAGACCTTGTCTCAAAAAAAAAAAAAGTTATTTTCAACGTCTTTACTTTGGGCTAAGGAGACAATATTGTCATGAGTTTTAAGATGCCAGTGAGACAAAAATGCAGAAACAGAGGATCTCTTTCCTAGTAATGGTGGATCCAGTACTACTGAGAAACAGTAGCACTTAGGGGGAAGAGCAGTGTTTAAGGAGAAAAAACAGGGAAGGATGTGGAGGAGATTCAATTTTCTGTGGCTCCTGGTAAGTCTGTGTGGTTCCTGCTGGGCAGTGGCTTACAATCATGGAACCTAAAGCCACAGGCAGGTAGGGCAGGAGGCGTTGGTCCTAATAATTGCTATGCTTATTAAGCACTTACTGTAAATCATGTGTGGTGCTAAGGACTTCATATAGTTTTTCTTTTAACCCTTACAACAGCACCTAGGGAGGGGCACTATCATTATTCTCATCTTATGGATGAGAGACTTAGGTAAGTTAGGTAATCTGGAGGTCCAATCATTCAAATCCAGGTAATTTGATTTGAGAGGCAACCTCTCTTGATCATTGCTTTGCTCTGTCTCTAAGTATAAATATGGCATAATCAAGCAGAGGTGCTTGTCACCATTCAAATAGGTCATTGGAAGATCCATGTCAATACCAGGGAACATCGGTGAAGCAAACATTAAGAAGGAGAACTGATGTCTACTATAGTCAGCCATTTCCTTTCTGCTCTCCAAGTCCTGGTGGTTCCAGAGGGAGTGATGTTACAGAAATGATAGGAAAGGGGGTAGGTGGCATTCAGGGTTTGACCTGTCTTGATTCTACTTGCCAGTTATGAGAATGTCTCAATACCTGCTCTGTATTTCCAAACCAAGCTTTGTTTTTGTATAGGTTTTGTATGGTTTTGATTGGTGTGTCATTATATTTTTAGTTGGCTGATAAGTTAGATCGTGTGGTGATCCTGCAACATGACTTATTATTTAGTCCTCCAGTAATCCAAGGGGACAGCTATTATTACCATATTGCATAAAACCTGTCACATATTCCCTTCTTCCACATACTTTAACATCACTAAGTCGGGATGTCTCTTGAAATTGATATGTGTCTAGTTTAATTGGCAGCATGACTTTCCTTCTTAGTGGCACATAAAGTAGTAGTGCAGCTTAAACATGGTGGTGATTTGCCATGGAATATTATGCAGCCATAAAAAAGCACGAGATCATGTTCTTTGCGGGGTTATGGATGGAGTTGGAAGCCATTACCCTCAGCAGACTAACGCAAAAACAGAGAACCGAATACTGAATATTCTCATTTATAAATGGGAGCTCAACGATGAAAACACATGGACACATGGGTGGGGGAGCAACATACACTGGGGCCTCTTGGTGGGGTGGGGAGAGGGAGAGCATCAGGAAGAATGGCTAATGGATACTGGACTTAATACCTAGGTGATGGTTGATCTGTGCAGCAAACCACCATGACACACGTTTACCTATGAAACAAACTTGCACATCCTGCACATACATGTACCCCAGAACTTAAAATAAAAGTTGAAGAAAAAAATGATAGTGATTTGAATCCAATGAAATATCATATCTGTATTTCAGAAAGGCAACTGAGGAGGTTAAATAATTTCTTCTGTGTTACTCATCTAGACACTAGTTGTGACATACAATGGCTAATTACTGAGAAAATCAGTTTTTATTTTATGCTAGTCACAGTTGGTCTACATTCTCCAACTTCCCCTGAAGTTAGGTTTGGCATGAGAACGAGTTCTGACAATGGAATATGAATGGATAACTGGACCCATAAAAATTATTGCTTTTCTCCACTCTTTCTTTTTCTCAGTCTGCCAGCTGGATACCAACTTCCAGGACAATCCTGGGAACCACACGTTGAAGATGGCTGGACTTCTGCAATGTGATTTATGAATGACTGTGTGGAACAGAGCTGCCTTTTCTTTTCCACTTTCTTTAGTCTACTGATTGACTTTACATGAGTGAGAGATAAACTTACACTGTGTTAAGCCACTGAAATTTTGGGATTAATGTGTTGCAAATAGATTATGTTACTTTAACTAATACACTGGCAGAATTGAGATTCAAGCTTTGTCTTTCTAATTCTAAAACCTGTCTTCTTAACTAGCATTTCTCAGAGTTAATAAGTGTTATATTGAATAAAGCTTTCCATTCTGTAAGAAGTTTTGGAAACAGTTGAGCAAGTTTCTCGATCTACGTCTTCTTGCAGCCATTCTAGTATGCATAGTGAATCTCTTAAAAGTGTCATATGCAGCTTTAATAGTGCTCTATGACATTGGTTATGCTTCAGACTTTCTTTAAAGACCCTGAGTCTTGTAAAAATGTGTTAGTTTGTATGGGGCCATATTATTAATCAAATCTTATAAATACATTTGAAATTATACTTACAAATAAACCTCTGTAATCCTTTTTAAAAAACAATTTCAAATTTTATTTTAGATCCGGGGGGTATTATGTGCAGGTTTGTTACCTGGGTATATTGCATGATGCTGAGGTTTGGGGTACAATTGTATCTGTCACTCAGGTACTGAGCATAGTATCCAATAGCTTTTCACCCCTTGCCCTCCTCCTTCTCTTCCCGCTCTAGTAGTCCTCAGTGTCTATTCTTCCCAACTTTATGCCCGAGAATCCGCTGTTTAGCTCCCACTTATAAGTGAGAACATATGGTATTTGATTTTCTGTTCCTGGGTTAATTCACTGCATAGAAATTATTTTCCTGCATTAATTTGCTCTTAGGATAATGGCCTCCAGCTGCATCCATGTTGCTTCAAAGGACAGGATTTCATTCTTTTTACGGCTCCATAGTATTCCATGGTGTATGTGTACCACATTTTCTTTATTCAGTCTACTGTTGATGGGTACCTGGGTTGATTTCATGTCTTTGTTATTGTGAATAGTACTGTGATTAACATTTGAGTGGATGTGTCTTTTCGGTGGAACAATTTATTTTCTTTCGGACATACAACCAGTAATGGGATTGCTGACCCAAATGGTAGATTCATTTTAAGTTCTTTGAGAAATCTTCAGACTGCTTTCCACAGTGGCTGAACTAATTTATCTTACCACCAACAGAGTATAAGTGTTCCCTTTTTCCCACAGCATTGCAATCATCTGTTGTTCTATGACTTTTTAATATTAGCCATTCTGACTGATGTGAAATGGTGTCTCATTGTGATTTTGATTTGCATTTCTCTGATAATTAGTGATGTGGAGCATTTTTTCATATATTTCTTGGCTGCTTGTGTATGTTCTTTTAAGAAGTGTCTGTTCATGTCTTTTGCCCATTTTTAATGGGATTATTTGTTTTTTGCTTGTTATTTGTTTAAGTTCCTTATAGATGTTAGAAATTAGGTCTTTGTTGAATGCATAGTTTGTGAATATTTTCTCTATTTCTGTAGGTTGTCTGTTTACTCTGTTGATAATTTCTTTTGCTGTGTAGAGCTCTTTAGTTTAATTAGGTCCCACTTGTCAATTTTTATTTTTGTTGCAATTGCAACTTATTAGTCATAAATTATGTCCCAAGGCTGATGTTCAGAGTGGGGTTTTATAGCTTTTCTTCTAGAATTCTTAAAGTTTGAGGTTTTACATTTAAATCTGTAATCCATCTTGAGTGAATTTTATTATATGACAAAATATAGGAGTTCAGTTTTATTCTTCTGCATATAACTAGCCAGCTGTCCCAGAACCACTTATTGAATGGAGAGTTACTTTCCCATTGCTTATTTTTTGTAGAGTTTGTCAAAGATCAGTTGGTTGTAGGTGTGTGGCTTTATTTCTGTGTTTTCTGTTCTATTCCATTGATCTATGTGTCTGTTTTTGTACCAATACCATGCTGTTTTGGTTATTGTAGCCTTACATATAATTTTAAGTCAGGTAATGTGATGCCTCCAGCTTTGTTCTTTTTGTTTAGGGTTACTTTGGCTGTTCAGGCTCTTTTTTTGGTTTATATGAATTTTAGAATAATTTTATCTAGTTCTGTGAAAAGTAATGTTGATAGCTTGATAGAAATCTGTAGATTGTTTTTGGCAGTATGGCCATTTTAGCAATATTGATTCTTCCAATCCATCCATGGGCATGGAATGTTTTTCCATTTGTTTGTGTCATCTATGATGACTTTCAGCAGTGTTTTATAATTCTCTTTATAGAGATCTTTCACCTCCTTATTTGCCTGTATTCCTCACATTTTATTTTTTTTGGAAGCTATTGTAAACGGGATTGCATTCTTGATTTGGCTCTCAACTTGAACATTATGGGTGTATGGAAATGCTACTGATTTTTGCACACTGATTTTGTATCTTGAAATGTTACTGAAATTGTTTAACAGTTCCAGAGGCCTTTTGGCAGAGTCTTTAGGGTTTTCTAAGTATAGAAACATATTATCAATGAAGAGAGACAGTTTGACTCTTGTTTTTCCTATCTAAATGCCTTTTATTTCTTTCTCTTGCCTAGTTTCTCTTGCTAGCACTTCCAGTACTATGCTGAATAGGTGTGGTGAGAGCAGACATCCTTGTCTTTTTCCAGGTTTCAGGAAATGCTGCCAGTTTTTACTTATTCAGAATGATGTTTGTTGTGGGTTTGTCATAGGTAGCTTTTATTATTTTAAGGTATATTCCTTTAATGCCTAGTTTCTTGAGGGTTTTTTAAAATCATGAAGCAATGTTGGATTTTACCAAAAGCTTTTTCTGCATCTGTTGAGATGATCATATGGTTTTTGTTTTTAATTCTGTTTATGTGGTGAATCATATTTATTGATATGCATGTGTTGAACCAGCCTTGCACCCCAAGAATGAAGCCTACTTGATCATGGTGAGGTAACTTTTTGATGTGCTGCTGGATTTTGTTATTATTTCATTGAGGATTTTTTTTTGGCCTATGTTAATCAAGGATATTGGTCTATAGTTTTCTTTTATCATCGTGTCTTTGCCAGGTTTTAGTATCAAGGTGATGCTGGCTTCATAGAATGAGTTAAGGAGGAATCCCTCATCTTCAGTTTCTGGGAATAGTTTCAGTAGTATTGGTAACAGTTTTTCTTTGTGTGTCTGGTAGAATTTGGCTGTATCTATCTGGTCCAGGGCTTTTTTTTTTTTTTTTGATTGGTAGGTTTTTTATTGCTTATTCAGTTTTGGAACTCGATTTCAGTCTGTTTGGGGTTTCAACTTCTTCCTGATTCAATCTTGGGAGATTATGTATTTCTAGGAATTTATTCATTTCCTCTAGACTTTCTAGTTTGTGTGCATAGAGGTGTTCATTAGAGTCTCTGAGGAGCTTTTGTATTTCTGTGGGATTGGTTGTAATGTCATCTTTGTCATTTCTGATTGTGCTTATTTGGATCTTCTCTCTTTTTCTTTGTCAATCTATCTGGTAGTCTATTGATTTTGTTTATTCTTTCGAAGAACCAAAGTTTAGTTTCATTGATTGTGTGGATTTTTGGGTCTCGATTTCATTCAGCTCTGCTCTGATTTTAGTTATGTCTTTCCTTCTGCTAGCTTTGGGGTTAGTTTGTTCTTGTTTTTCTAGTTCTAGGTTTGATGTTAGAATGTCAATTTGAGATCTTTCCAACTTTTTGGGGTTGGCATTTAGTGCTATAAACTTTCTCCTTAGCATTGTCTTTGCTGTATCCCAGAGTTTTTGGTATATTCTGTCTCTGTTTTCATTTATTTCAAAAAATTTTTTGATTTCTGCCTTAATTTCACTATTTAGTCATTTCCAAGTAGTTGTATTGAAACATCTCTAATATTAATGATTTTCTGGCATTATATTTTTCAGTCTAGTTGGTAAGTTTTCTATCTAGTCAAAGAACTTAATTACCACATACTGTGCAAGTTATTAAGCAATAATTATTAGTAAAACTCTTGAGGGCAGGGTCTGAAATTTTCTTATTCACCACTGTGTTCCCAGCTCTCTGTCACAGTGCCTATGACATAGTAGGCACTTAATAATTATATGCTGTTCTTATTAAAGAGATAGCTTGGTGGAATAAATGTTATTATAGGAGCTGTGAACCTTATTTCTTCAATTACAAAATAAGGAGAATGATTTTTTATTTCAAAGAGTTTTGTGATAATCAAATGAAATGGTGTACATGTGATGTAAGATATTTACACTACTTGGTAAACCTATAATGTGAGATATTTGTACTACTACTAGAATGAAGCAGTATTCAATAGACTGTATTTAACACATATTTTTTCACAATTGTTAGGCCTTGGCACAGACTTTGTATTATGCATAGGTGATAAAGCTGAATCATGTATCTCTTCTCCTTGGAACACAGGAAATTTGAAACTCAATAAATTTTTTGTGCTTAGCCTTGCTTAGCTCTCAGAGCTAGTCTGTTTCCTTGGGTATACCAGGTAACCATATGAAAATGCATTCAGCAAATATTTGAAAGGAGGATATAAAGAACTCCAGAAATACCAAAAAAAGATAGTTAAAAACCATGTAATGAGTAATCTCTTGGACTAACTGGGAAAAACAGGATTCAAATTTGTAAGTCCTTATTTTCCTTTCTGAATTTTGCCATGTCTGTTTGTCTTAGAATGAGCAACACATTAATAATCAAAACCAGACTAGTGTTTGAGTAAGTGTCCTTCACATCAACCCCTGATTTCCCTTTGGTTCTATACAAGAAAGCATTCATTACTTTCATTGGCATAAACTTCTCATTTTGAAAAGTACTTGGATAAAATGTGTCCTGTGATACTGAGTATTCTCCCTGTTAATGTACTATGTATATTGGATGTATTGTCAAATTTATTTAGACCCTCTTTAAGTGTTAGTGGTGAAATTAGATTAGATTGCTTTCTTTCAAACGTCTATCTTTCATCACTGCAGGATGAGATGCTTTTATTGCCAATTGACAAGGACACGCGTGTCAGTATTTTTAGGCAGCAATATATAGTGCTGTATCAAGGAAAGGAAATAAAGCCCTTAGATTGTGGTAATGTACTGAATGGGCCAGGGAACAGCTTACGCCCTTTTCCAAGAAACAATTCCAAAAACAAAATGTTTTCTCCTGAGCTTAAATGAAAAGCAGATACAACAAAAGCTTTAAACTGAAAAATAATAGATTCACTGGCATCAGGTACTGAAGGAGTTGAACATTATTTAGACTTCTCAAAAAATTGGCTATGCCTGTTAGATGGGTGTCCAAAAATTCTCTGGAAATCATTGTCTATGTTAACCATAAAACTACTAAACAGTTTATTATTGTCAAATTCACTTAAAATGAATAACCTTGATCGCTCAGTAATTCCCTTTAGGGAATAGCCTGTGGCAAGAGTATATTTTACATGTCCATTGTTAAGCATTTCAATAAATCAACATGATGCAGGAAAATTTGATATTTCTATGGAAATCTCTATGCTTTCATTGCTCTTTTCATATTATTAATGCTAGTGAGTCTTATGCTAAAGAATTTGAGACTGACATTTTTCAGTTTAAAGTATAGTTTATGAACACTGATGGAAAGTATGTTTCTTTCTGTGGAAATTCATTTTTCTTAGTGTGCATTATCTCTCCTCTTATTCTCCAAGTTTACTTTAAACTCCTGTCAATTCAAATTGGTTCTATTATTCAATCACAGATATACCCTTCATATTTTCCATAAGAATGATGCAGGCATCAAATATGGCTTTTTAAATTTTTGATGGAGTCTTATAAAAGCTATTGTTGAGATCATGTTGGGATTCTGTGGTATAGGTTTTAGCTATAGGTAAACAATCATCCTTTTTTGCCCATGACTGAGGGATTTCCTGGGACAAGGGATAGTTGCATGCAAACTGGAACAGTTGGTCAACTTACTGAATTACTTACATTAAAATTATATGAAAAATACCTATCCCAGTAGCACAACATTGATTATGAAATATATATCCCCAGAAGATCTTCATTTTTAAAAGGGTTTGTAATTCATTTTAGACTCATTCTTTGAAATAATGCTTATTAGTTCCTGATCATTGTTTAAAAAAGAGATAATTAATTTTGTACCTCTGGCTTTTAAAAATTATAATTTATCCATTGTGTACTTAGCCTAGACTAGTAGATTTTGCTATGTTCAAAATGCATAATTTATTGTAACCTTCCTATAGTCTTTCTTGGTTTTGATTTAATAAGACATAGGAAACTATAGACCAAAACTTCATAAGAATAACTTTAAGTGATTTATTTTCCAGTTACCCATTTTCTATGTTGAAATATTTACTTTTAGAGGTCATTAAATGTATTTCTACTTCTTTGTGAATTTGATTAATTATAAAGTTTCCTATGCATTGTTTTTGCTGAGAATCAGATATTCAGGTTTTATATGTCTGAAAAATAAATCTCTTGTCAACACTCCTCACTTCTTTTTATTATCCCAGAACTCTAGTTTGTAAAACAGGCTTGATATGTGTTGACTTTTTCTTATAGATGACTCTGCTCTGTCTTGTGAAATGTTATAAAACTCCAAAGAGCTTGGACTATCCTAAATTTTGAATATTTCAAGATGTATTCTAGTTAGACATAGTACATGGGGCAAAGAATACCCATATTCTTTGGAGACTTTGAGCTTGGAGGATCAATCTTAGCAAATAACCTTCCTTTCTTCAACTTTGGTCTGAAGGGCATTCCTTTTAGATTTGCAAAGAATCAATTTTATACTACAGGAGTAAAGTGGGTCATAATATTGAACACAAAAAGTTACGTAAGCATATTAATTCAGTGAGGTTATGGCTGATAGCTGCAGTGTGTGAACACACCCAAGTGGCCCATTTACTCCTGCTGATGCAACATGGAATGACAGTTGGTCAGCAAATGTGTTGAATGTCTATTTCATTCCAGAAGAAAGTGAAAGGAAATAGAAGATCTGGCTGGCCCACCTCTCTATCTCTTATGGAAATAGATATGCTAATATAGTCAGAAGATGCCAATGGGTGGCCATATTAAATAATAGAACTTGTACCTAGTTTTCTCCTTCTATGTGTAGTGTGTGGGCTGTCTTGTCATACTTCATATTATCAAGGGGTTAATTAAAGACCTCTGAGGTCTTCTACCCATCTTCATTCTTTAACAGTGAGCAGATCCTTATATAAAAAAGTGATGAGTTAAACTACATGTCATGTCTAGTATTAGGTGAAATTATGCTTCCAAGAAGAGCTAAAAAACGACTGCTGTTTCCTTTGTGCGTCTTTTGTAGAATACAAGTTTTGATATTTTAGTGCTTAGTATATTTAGTATTTTTAATACTTATATAATATTTATAATTCTTTTCCAATGGGAAAAGATACATTTTAATTACATCACAAATGGCTTTTCATGACATTAAATCTACAGAACTGGCTATAGATCTTCTATTCCTTGAGTCTGAAATAGATACATAGAGATAGATAGATAGACAGATAGATAGATGGATATATAGATAGATAGATAATCTCCTATAAGGCAGTAAAGTTGGCTATGAGCTCTACCAATATGGCATGCTGCCTTTCCTTATTTTAATAATTCAGTTGTCTATTGAAGGTACATACCTGATAGCTGCACAAGAAATGTTATTTGTTTTTAACTTTTGAAGAGTAAATTTATGTATTTTCTCTTAGGATGGTAATGGGAAAATCAGGAAATGTAAATTTTAATTCCTAATGACCACCTCATTTTAATAGTTAATAATTTCTCCTGGATCTCTAAGCAATGTATATAGCAAGTTTTGTATACCTTAAGAAATGTAAATCACACAATATCTGTATTCAGAAATAGAATATCTTCTGGGTTTATCTCTTTCTCTAGCAAATTATACTTTAACCACATGTGCTGCTAAATTATTCATTCCCATCTGTCAGCAGTTCCTCAAATGGAACCACTGAGGAAACCTGAAATGGTCAATGGTTAGCTGTTCTCTAGACAGTCATAAATATACAACACGTGTGGCTGAGAACCCATGACCCAATGCCAGAGAAATTAGGTGTAAGGGCTGTGCAAAAGCAGGCTGAGGTCTCAAAAGGCCATAAGTGAACACTGCCTCTCCCTCTGTGGCATCTTTTGTCAAGCATATCATTTCAAAGGAAACAGTAATAGTTCTTTAAAAAATTTATTAATATTTTTATGGGTAAATCATAATTGTATACATTTATGGGGCACAATGAAATGTTTTGACATATGCATACAATGTGGAATGGTTAAATTTAATTAACATATTAATCACCTCAGTCACTTATTGTTTGTGATGAAATATTTGAAATTTGCCAAGTAATTTTGAAATTATGACATATTATTATTGACTATAATCACACTGCTGAGCAATAGATATCAAAACTTATTCCTCTTGTACAAAGCGAAACTTTTTACCCTTTGACCAACAATTCTCCATTCCCCCCTCCCCACAGCTCAGCCTCTGGTAACCATCATTCTACTCTACTTTTATGAGTTTGACTTTTTTTTTTTGTCTCAGTCTCTGAGTAGCTGGGATTACATGTGTGAGCCATCACAACTGACTAATTTTTGTATTTTTAGTAGAGACAGGGTTTTGCCATGTTGGCCAGGCTGGTTTTGAACTCCTGACCTCAGGTGATCCACCCACCTCAGCCTCCCAAAGTGCTCAGATCACAGGCATGAGCCGCTGCACCTGGCTGATTTTGACTTTTTAAGATTCTACATATAAGTGAGATCATGTGGTATTTGTCGTTCTGTGTCTGCCTTATTTCACTTAACATAATGTCCTCCAGATTCATTCCTGTTATTGCAAATGACAGAATTTCCTTCTTTTGTTAGGTTGAAAAGTATTCCATTGTGTATACATACACCATATTTTCTTGATATATATACACAGTGTTGATGTCGATGAACACTTAAATTGGGAAATGATAATAGTTCTTCACCAAACTTTAATACTGAAGCAAGTCAATCATCTGGTATCTGGTGCCCAAAGAGAAGATTTCTGGGTCTTCCCCCTGCTTTATTCAGGTAAACAAAGTAAATATGAGGGGCCACTAAAAATCCCTGTTTTTCAGAATTTCTATTGAGGAAGAAAATCTGAGGAATTTCACATCATGTGAAATAAAAGAGCTAGGGAAATACTAGAAAGCAAAGTTCGAAGAAATGGTTTTAGTGATGCACTTTGTGAAGTAATATGTTCTGAGTTTTTCACATCTTTTAAATTTATTTTTAAAGCTGTAGAGTTACTTGCTGTTCTTTCAACATGCCAAGATCCCATGCTAAGCCTCAGAGCTTTGCATTGGTTGTTCTTTCTACCAAGAATGCCCCTTTCCCATTCCCATATTGGCTTTCCCCCTTTATTTCAGTCTTAGCTCAAATGTCTTCTCAGAGGCCCTGCCTTGTAGATCACACTATCTGCTTTGGTGTTTTCATTAGAGCACTTAGACAGAGAATTTGAGATTGAACATCATTCATCCATTTATTATTTGTTCCTGCCAGTAGAATGTAAGCTCTGTGTAGGCAGGGAATTTGTTCAGCTTAAGACTGTACCACAATCTTGTACACATCATGAGCATGATAAATGCTTGTTAGCAAATTAATGACTGATTTAGAGTAAAGCCAAAATGGTATATGGCTGTTTTACTATAAGAAGGAATCATTTCTTTTCCAAGTTAGAAGCACAAATAATCTGCTTCATTATAATACATGCCAAAATCAGGTGAGAAACTGAAATTGCTTTTCAGTGACACCTGATGATGAGTTGTGTGGGAACAAAGATCCAACTGGGGAAAAACGTTAATCTGTTCCCAAACTCCTGAGACATAAATCGAAGCAGTTCCTGGATTTAATGCTTCTCATGCAGTCAATCAACATAATTATCATCACCATATGAACACATATCTATTGCATAGCGAAACTGTACCTCTCTTCTGAGGATACCTACAGGCAACAAGGAAGAAGCACGTGGTGCCTGCACAGGAAAACCAGCACAAAAAACTGCATAAAGAATACAGGGATATCGGCTCTGAGCCTCAGCTCAGTCCCATTTTTATTAATCTCCCAAGAGCATATGGTGCTGATCACTCACTACTTCTTAAAAATACTCCCCCTTCTTTAGAAAAAGTCTAATGTTTGTCTACTGCACTGTTTTCTTTAGCAGCTCTTCTTCCTTGGTCTTCTCCTTAAGAATGGATGTTCACTAGAATGCTGCTGTTTTTCTCTTCTTACTCACACTCTACCTGGCAGCCTCCCTTATCATCTTTATGCTTATCATGATGCCTTAACATATGCCTCTAACACTGACCTTTATCCCATTTCCCAGGCTTGAATTTCCAACAGCTCCTGGACATATTTGCGTAGGTTTTCCCCTAGGCACCTCAAGAATATTATGTCACAAACTAAATCTGTTCTACCATTTCTTCTCCTGCTTTCATCATTTTAGTTTCGATTTATCTAAGAAGCTATCTTCTGCTTCTTAGGTCACATCTCACTAGCTGTCTTCTTGTTTTTCTCCTCCCTACTGTTTCTCTGTCACTGCTCTGTTCAGACTCTCATTGTTTTCCATGTTGGCTATTGTAATAACTGAAATGGCTTCTTGCCTTGTGTCTCTGGTGTCATCAGTTTATTTCCCTCTTTTGCAAACTCCTCCTCAACATAATTATCATTTCCATAATCACTTACTTCCAGAAGAAACATAATCATTTATTTCCAGAAAAAATTTCCAATTATTTTAATAAAGGCCTAGACGTTCTGCTGAAATCTGGCCCCCAGATATTTTTCTAGGTTCATTTGCCTCTGCAGTCTTGACACAGCCAGCCCTGTTAGACTATTTGTTCCCATTGGACACTCCCTGGGCCTCTTTTCTCTGTGTCTTTAATCATGCTCTGCTGTAAGTCTGTGTTCCTTTTCTTGATTATTCCCATTAAGAAATCCCATTTGCCACTTTATTTATTTATTTATTTATTTATTTATGTATTAATAATATTTTACTTAAGAGGAAGGGCAGTGCAAATGAGGAAGTCTTTATGCACTGAGGTTTGGGGTTCTATTAAACTTGTCACCCAAAAAGCGAACATAATACCCAATAGGTAGTTTTTCAGCCTTTGCCTACCTCCCTTTCTCCCCTCTCTGGTAGTCACCAGTGTCTGGTATTCCCATCTTTATGTCCATGTGTACCCATTGTTTAGCTCCCACTTATAACAGAACATGTGATGTTTGGTTTTCTGTTTTTTGTGTTAATTTACTTAGGATAATGGTCTCCAGCTGCATCCATGTTGCTGCAAAGAACATGATTTCATTCTTTTTTATGGCTGTGTAGTATTCCATGGTGTATCTGTACCACATTTTCTTTATCCAATCCACCATTGACGGGCACCTAGGTTAATTCCATGTCTTTGGTATTGTGAATAGTGCTGTGATAAACATACAAATGTGTGTGTCTTTTTGGTAGAATGATTTCTTTTCCTTTGGGTATATACCCAGTAAATGGGATTGTTGGGTCGAATGACAGTTTTACTTTTAGTTCTTTGTGAAATCTTCAAACTGCTTTCCATGGGGGCTGAAATAATTTACATCCCCCACCCCCAACACTGAATAAGCATTCCCTTTTCTCTGCAACCTTTCCAACATCTGTTTCTTTTTGACTTTTTAATAGCCATTGTGTCTGGTGTGAGATGGTATCTCATTGTGGTTTTGATTTGCATCTCTGTGACCATTCGCCATTTTAGATCTAGCTTAAATGTCTACTATGAAGCCTCTGCATTCAGAGAACTCATGCTTCTTTCTCGATTTATTTAATTCTACCTGTGTTAGAATGGCTTTCTCCCTCACTGACTGAAAACTCTTTTCAGATCAGCTGCTTTACCTGTCCCTCTTCATAGTCTCCGTTAGCACCTCCAAGAGTACTGTCTTGAAGGAATACAATAAATATTCCTTAAAATAACTTACGTTGCATGTCTTGGGTTCAGAGAAAAGTGACCAGTGACCATTCTACATCATAGATGATAAATAATTATAAGAGTCACTCTTCTCCTATTCATACATTGCCATTCATATGCTATTTATGTTTAGAAAAGTGGTTAAGACTTGGGCTTTGATGTTAAGCAGATACAGGTTTAAGTTCTGTGTTTGCCATATGCTAGTTATGAAACTTTGGGTAAGTTATAAAATTTCTCTAAGCTTCAATTTATTTGTACATCAATTGGGGAATAACACTTTTTGTCTAATGTAGGATGATTGTGAGGACTGGTAAGTTATGAATGTAAAGTGCTTAGCACAGTGCTGGGCATATAGCAGGTTCTCAATTAAAGCTATCTATTATTATACTTGTCATTGTTATTCTGAGCCTCTATGTAGTCAAGTGCAATCCTAAGATATCTTCATAACAAATATTAGGTGGAGAGCAAGCTTTTCATGTAACTCCTTTATGTCTTTGGAGATAAAGTAGATATGTCTCATGACACAAAATCTTTGGTTATATAATTTCTCTGTATGCCTATTATCAGTCTTGCCTTTTGTCTATGCAATTTTAAAAAAGCAAGACAAATAAGTATAAACATTAATTATGCTACAAAAATTGCTCCTTGTTAGTGATATAAAAACAAAACAATTGTAACCTGATGTGAATTACAAAGATAACACAGTAAAGTCATCAATATTGTCCTCTTTACTTTCCTTTTGAACAACCATTGAAAGCTAAATTAATTTAGATTGCTGAAATATAATCTTGGCTACGGTTTTTGTCATCTTAAAGCCAGGAGTAAAATTGCAGTTTAATTGGCTTCTCTGATTTTGGCAATAAATGGTATAATAGATTTTACTTAGGAAATTTTGACCTTTTCAAAAAAATCAAGATTTGTTGTCTTACAACTTCTAAGAGTATTTAAACCCCAAAAGGGGGTGAGGAGAGAAAAAAGACAGAAAAAGAGAAAAATCATAAAAAGAATATATCGTGGCCAAGTATAATTTTTGAATAAGAAATTGGACTAAAGTGATGTTCGTGAGGTAATTTAAACTTCATGAAAGAAAACTGGCATCACAAATACAGCATTATTATCTGCATGTGTGTTTATGTGACATCCATCAATATGCTAGAAAAATTTAGAAACATATTTAGATAGATGTTATTAAACATGAGGGGTGTCAGGTTAATACTCAGAAGAATGCTGTGTCCTGGAGTTTCTAAGGAAATCACAAAATTGTCTACCCACAGCCTCTCCTTTGCCCAGATATATACCTAAAATATTAAAAGATTGCTTACTTGGTTTCATTTAAAGTCTTTCCACAGGTAGAACCTGTTACTTGATCTCAATGATCTTTTCTGGGAAAAGAGCTTCTGCTTTCTGAAAATGTTAGCTCTTTTTTGGTCATCATTGGTATGTAGTTGCTATTTTTGCACCTCTCTTATCTAAGCAATATGGTCTACTGTTTCTTGTTTGTATGTGCATCTAGAATTTGCTATTCTAAAAGTAATGTATGTACATGAAAATAGTTAAAGCTGTATATATGAAAGTAAAGTTTTTCTTTTTTTCATCCTGATCTAGCCCCTCAGAGAAAACTTTCTGGTTTCAGGAAGCTTTATTTTACTTTATTTTTTGGTTTTCAATTTTATTATAATACTTTGAATTTATTTTTTGAGATATGATTGACATACAAAAAGCTGCTATATATGTTTAATGTATACTTCATGAATTTGGGGATGAGTATACACTTGTGACAGCATCACTATCATCAAGGCTGTAAGCATAGATATTAATATTATCTCCCAGAGTTTCTTTCCACTCCTTTTATTATTACTATTGTTTTCGATCTTCATTTTGGTAAAAACACTAACCATAAATCTTATGGTTGGCAAATTTTAAGTATACAATACAATATTGTTATGTATATAGGCACTGTGTTGTATAGTAGATTTTCACAACTAATCATGCATAACTGAAACTTTGTACCTTTTAACCATTTCGTCCCTATTTCCCTCACCCCCCAGTCCCACCCAATGACCATTGTACACTCTGCTTCTATGATTCTATTTCAGAATAGTGGCGGAATATGGAATATATATATACAACAGAATATTATTTAACCTTAGAAAAGAAGGAAATCCTGCCTTTGTGACAACATGGATGGCCCTTTAGGGCATTATATTAAGTGAAATAAGCCAGACCAAAAAGATAAATACTGTACTATTTTACATACATGTGGAATCTAAAATGTGTTTCCATTTCTTGGCTATTATGAATAATGCTGTAATGAACATAGGAGTGCACATATCTCTTTGGGATCCTGATTTCAATTTCTCTGGATATAACACTCAAAACTGGGGTTGCTAAATCATATTGTAGTTATATTTTAACTTTTTGGGTAACACCCATTCTATTTTCCATAATGTCTGTACCAACTTACATTCTCACCAACAGTGTACAAGGATTTCCTTTTTTCCCACATCTTTCCTAACACTTGTTTTATGTTTTTGACAATAGCCATCCTAACAGGTGTGAGGTGATGTCTCACTCTGGTTTTGATTTGCATTTCCTTGATGCTTAATGATGTTGAGCATCTTTTCATATACCTATTGCCCATCTGTATGTCTTTTTTGGAGAAATGTTTATTCAGGTCCTTTGTCAATTTTAAAAATTGGGTTGCTTGGTTTTCTGCTATGCAGTTGAAGGAGTTCCTTATATATTTTGGATATTAACTCTTTCTCAGATGTATGGCTTGCAAATATCTCCCACTTCATAGATAGCCTTTTCCTTTTGCCATTTCTTTTGCTATGCAGAAGCTTTTTAGTTTGATGTAATCTCACTTGCTTATCTTTGCTTTCATTGCCTGTGCTTTTGGGGACACATCTTAAAAAATCATTGTTAATACTAGTGTCTAGGAGCTTTATCCCTACGTTTTCTTTTAGGAGTTTTGTGCTTTCATGTCTTATATTTAAGTCTTTAACAGAGTTTTGTGTGTGGCATAAGATAAGCGTTCAATTTTTTTTTTTTTTCCATGTGGATACCCAGTTTTCCCTACACTATTTATGGAAGAGGCTATCCTTTCCCCAAGGTATATTCTTGGTGTTCTTATGAAAAATTACTTAACCTTGTATGTGTAGGTTTATTTCTGAGCTTTCTATTCTGTTCCACTGGTCCATGTGCCTGTTTTTTTGCCAGTATCAAACTGTTTTGACTACTATGGCTTTGCAATATTATTTGAAATAAAGAAGTGTGATGCCTCTAGTTTTATTCTTTTTGCTTAAGATTCCTTTGGCCATTTGATGTCTTTTGGTATTCCATATAAATTTTAGGATTGTTTTTTCTATTTCTGTGAAATGCATTGAATCTGTTGATTGGAATTTTAATAGAGATTGCACTAAATCTATAGGATCACTTTGGGTAGTAGAGATATTTTAATAACATTAATTCTTCTAATCCATGAAAATGGGATATCTTTCTATTTATTTGTGCCTACTTTTATTAATGTTTTATAGATTTTAATGTACCAGTTTTCATCTCCTTAGTTAAATTTATTCCTAAAATTTTAATTCTTTTGATACTTATGTAAATATAATATTTTTGTCAATTTCTCTTTTGGATAGTTTATTGGCAGATATAGAAACACAGCAGATTTTTGTATGTTTATTTTGTATCCTGTAACTTTACTGAATTCATGTATTAGTTCTAACAGTTTTTTAATGGACACTTATAGTTTTCCATAAATAAGATTGTGTCAACTGCCAATAGAGACAATTTTATTTCTTCCTTTCTGATTTGAGTGTCTTTTGTTCACTTTTTTTGCCTAGGTGCTCTGGCTAGAATTTCCAGTACTATCTTGAATAGAAGTGGCAAGAGTGGGCAATCTTGTCGTGTGCCTGATCTTGGAGGAAACACTTTCAGTTTTTACTATTGAGTATGGCATTCGATGTGGGCTTTTCATGTATAGCTGTGATTTTGTTTTGCCAATTTCCTTCTATTCCTGGATTTTGTTTTGTTAATTTCTCTTCTATTCCCTCTATTCCTCATTCTATTCCTGGTGAGTTTCCTTCTATTGGAGAGTTTTTTGTCATGAACATTTTTAAAATGTCCAACACTTCAAATTGTCCAACACTTTTTTTAAAATGTCCAACACTTAAAATTGTCCAACACTTTTTCTGCATCTCTTAAGACAATTGTGATTTTTAAATCCTTTGTTCTGTTAATGTGGTATGCACATTAATTGATTTTCATATGTTGAACCATCCTTTAATCCAAGGGATAAGTGCCACTTGATCATAATGTATTATCTTTTTAATGTGCAGTTGAAATTAGTTTGCTAGTATTTAGTGAGGATTTTTGCATCTGTATTCATCAAGGATATTAGGCCCTAATTTTCTTTTCTAGTCTACTTATCTGGCTTTGGTATCAGGGTAATGCTGGCCTCATAAAATGAGTTTGGAAGTATTCCTTCCTCTTCAGTATTTTAGAAGAGTTTGAGAGGGATTGGCATTAATTTTTTAAAAAAATGTTTGGTAGAAGTCAGTAGTGAACTTATTTGGTCCTAGGTTTTTCTTTGTTGGGAGATGTTTGATTACTGATTGAATCTCTTTACTCATTATTGGTTTATTCACATTTTCCACTTCTTCAGATTTCAGTCTTGGTAGGTTCTTTGTGTCTAGAATTTTGTCCATTTCTTCTACTTATCCACCTTGTTGGCATTTAATTGTTCGTAGTAGTCTCTTATGAATCTTTTTATTTCTGTGGTATCAATTGTAATGTCTTCTGTTTTACTTGCAATTCTATGTATTTGATTTTTCTCTTCTTTTTCTTAATTTGGCTAAAGGTGTGTCAATTTTATCTTTTCTATCAGTTGTTAACTCTTACTTTCACTGATTTTTTTCTGTTGTGTTTCTAGTTTGTATTTTATTTTTTTTTCTGCTTTATTTGCTTCTTTCTGCTAACTTTGATCTTAGTTTGCTCTTCTTTTTCTGGGTCCTTGAGAAGTAAAGTCTTTTTATTTGAGATTTTTTTTTTTTTTCTTAAGGGAGAAGTTTATCACTATAAACTTTCCTCTTAGAACTGTTTTGCTACCTCCCATACATTTTGGTAGGTTGCATTTACATTTTCCTTTGTTTCAATATTTTTTTTTGTTTCTCTTTTTTATTTCTTTTTTGACCCATTTGTTGTTCAGGAGTGTGTTGCTTAGTTTCCACATATTTGTAATTTTTCCAAATTTTCTCCTGTTATTGATTTCTAGTTTCATATCTATGTGGTCAGAAAAGATACTTGATATGATTGATATGATTTCAATGTTCTTAAATTTGTTACCACTTATTTTTTGGCCTAATATATGACCTATTCTGGAAAATATTTCATGTGCACTTGAAAATAATGTGTATTCTGTTGCCGTTGGATAGAATGTTCTTATGTATATGTCAGCTCCATTTGGCCTAAAGTGTAGTTGAAGTCCAATGTTTCCCTATTGATTTTCTGTCTGGATGATGCATCTGTTGTTGAAAGTGGCATATTGAAGTCTTATATACAATTATTGTATTGCTGTCTATTTCTCTCTTCAGATCTACCAGTGTTTGCTTTATATATTTATGTGCCCTGATGTTGGTGAGATATATATATATATATATGTATATGTGTATGTGTATATATATATATATACACACACACACACACACACACACACACCAATGCTATACCTCTTGGTGAATTGATTTCTTTATCATTATAGTGACTATATTTTGTCTCTTGTGACAGTTTTTGACTTCAGGTCTATTTTGCCTAATGTAAGTATAGCTACCCCTGCTCTCTTTTGGTTACCATTGGCAAGGAATATACATTTTAATCTCTTCATTTCAGCATATGGTGTCATTAAAACTAAAGTGAGCCTTTTTTTTAAGGCAGCATATAGTTTGATATTTAAAAAAAATTTAACCTATTCAGTTACTCTATTTCTTCAGATTGGTCAATTTAACCTTAAAGTAATTATTGCTAGAGAGGACTAACTATTGCCATTTAAAAAAATTGTTTTCTGATAGTTTTGTAGTTCCTTTGTTCTTTTCTTCTCTTGCTGTCTATCTTTGTGATTTGATTTTTTTTTTGTAGCGGTAGCTTTTATTCCTTTGTTTTAATCCTTCATGTATCTACTACAGGTTTTTGTTTCTTTGTAAGTACCACAAGGCTTACATAAAACCTCTTATAGTTACAGTAATCTATTTGAAGCTGATATCAATTTAATTTTGATTACATACAAAAATTCTACATGTTTATTCCCTCCTTCACATGTTATATTATTGCTGTCACAACTTACATCTTTTTATATTATGCACTCATTAACAAATTATTCCACCTATAGTTATTTCAATATTTATGACTTTAAACTTTTACACTAGAGCTAACAGTGATTTTCACACCACCATTTCAGTATTAGAGTATTGTGAATTTAACCATATATTTACTTATGCTGGTGATTTTCATACCTTCATATGCCTTCATGTTGTTAGCATTCTTTTATTTCAACTTGAAGGATTCCCTTCAGCATTTTCTATAAGGCGGATCTGGTGGTGATGAACTTCATCACCTTTTGTTTGTCTGGGAAATTCTATCTCTCCATTCCTGAAGGATAGATTTGCTGGGTTTATTATTCTTAGTTAGCAGGAGTTTTGTTTTGTTTGTTTGTTTGTTTTTTCACTTTGAAGGTATCTATCCACTTTCTCCTGGCCTTCAGCATTTCTCTTGAGAAATCTGCTGACAGTCTTATGTGGGTTTCCTTATATGTGACAAGTCACTTTTTTCTTGCTTCTTTCCAAATTCTCTCTTTATCTTTGACTTTTGACAATTTGATTGTAATGTGTCTCTGTGAAGACCTCTTTATGCTCAACCTATTGGAATTCTTTAGGCCTCTTGGATCTAGATGTTCAATTGCCTCTTCAGACTTGGAAATTTTCTGTCATTATTTCTTCAAATAAGATTTCTGCCTCTTTTCCTTTCTCTGCTCCTCTGGAATTCCATGATGTGTAGGTTTGTTTGCTTGATGGTGTCTTACATGTCCCATAAGCTTTCTTCATTCTTTTCCATTCTTTTTTCTTTTTGTTTCCCTGACTGGATAATTTCAAATAATTTGCTTTGAGTTTCCTGATTCTTTTTTCTGTTGGATTGAGTCTGCTGTTGAAGCTTTCTATTGAATTTTTTATTTCAGACATATTCTTCAGCTCCAGAATTTCTGTTTTTTTAAAAAAATGGTGTCTATCTCTTTGTTGAACTTCCCATTTTGTTATTGTATTGTTTCCATGACATTGTTTCGTTGTAGCTCACTGAGCCTTTTTAAGACTTTTTTTTTTAAAATTCTTTGTCAGGCAGTTCAGAATCTTTATTTCTTTGGAGATAGCCACTGGAGTTTTACTTTGTTTCTTTGATGGTGCTATATTTTCTTAATTCTTTGTGTTCCTTGAAGCCTTGCCTTGCTGTCCTAACATTTGAAGAAGGAATCACCTTTTCCTGTCTTTACTGGCTGGCTTCTGGATAGAAAGATCTTCCACAGTGAACTTGGCCTGAGATTCCAGTGATCTCTCAGACTTCTATCAATGCACCCACTCCATTTCTCTTGTTCCATCTGAAGGGGTATGTGTTAGGATTGTATGCCTTCTTTTGATCCTGTAAGGCCAGACTTGCTGCTGAGAGCCTTCTGTTTTCCCTAGGGCAGTGCCCTGAGGCATTCCTTAGGTCAGTGCCCTGAGGTTGTATCCTTTCTCCAAAACTAGCAGAGTCAAGCTGGTGGCTAAGATCTGCCCCTGCTGTTGATATTTGTGTGCTTTCTATGGGACTTTGCATGGGTTGCAGTGAAGATGCACAGGGTGCCACCCATGGGTATTTGAAGGACATAGTTAGTGGGAGATGTCTTCAGGTGAGGTTTCCTGCAGGGTTCATGGGCAGGCCTCTTGGTAGAGGCAGTTAGCAAGTTTGCAGGATGTGTGGCTGCATGTTAAAATCTGTGCACCAGTTGCTGTGTGCTTCTGTCTCTTCTCTGGGCTCCTAGCTGTCCCTAGATGATTTAGCTGTACTGATCTCCTCACTGTTCTTGTGGGCAGCATAGAAGTGGGCCTCTTGGTCAACTCCATCCCACAAGGCCAAGGAGGGTGAGTGCTCACCACACTCTCACTTTTTCCCATGGGAATGTTGTGGTCAAAGGGGTCCTCTCTCAGTATCAAGTTGTGTTGCTTTTGGAATAGGATAACAATAGTAAAGTAAAAATGCTCTTCATGGGTGGTTGCCAACATCAGAGTTTCTGAGGAGAGGTGGTCTGGAACCTCCTATTCCAGCATCTTGCTGATGTCACTCCCATCAGGACTCTTTTAGATTCTAAGAAATTATTGAAGAACCCAAAAAGCTTTTGCTAATTTATCAATATACATCATATGAGAAATTTAAACTAAAAAATTATAAAATATTAATAAAAAACCATAACACACTAATTACCTATTAACATTGAAAACCATAATTTACTAAAATGTATTTTAAAATGTCAGTCATAATTAGAAGAGTGGCATTCTTTTGTATTTTTGCACATCTCTTTAATGCCTGATTAATAAAAGATAGTAGGCTTCAATCTGTTGAGATATCATACATCATGTAGTCTGTAGAATCCTCCACTGTACAATGATGTCAAAGTGACAAATAAAAAGGCAAATATAATAAAAATGATATTATTATAAAAATAGTTTTGACTTTGTCTGGGGTCCTAGGCTGTACTTGGAGAATTGCCGCGTCAAACAAAATTATGTTTGACCATTTCTGGGTTTGACTTCTCTTTCACATGTTAAATAATATGCTTACACCTCTAGTTAGTTATCTTCTAGTTAAATTTGTGTCTAATCACTCCCTTCTCTGACTATTTTTCATTCATTTCTTCTTTCCTGATTTTTATTTTTGGTACTTGTACTGGCTATCTTTATAACTTTAAATAATACCTTTACATTGTCTCCTGGGGAATGTCAGAACATTTTCTTTACTTCCAATTATATAAAATGAGAACTTTATTAGACTTTAGTTTGCTTATATATTCATCTCCATTTCTCTTTCCCCTCTTCTCTTTCAAAATCTGCCAACAGTACCCTCAATTTACATGGTCAGATTTTCCAACAGTTACATTCTTTCCCTTTACTAAAATTATGGCTTCCATGCTTTGCCTATAAATTGAACTTAAAATGGAAAATAAGAAGAAGCACTTAAATTGTGATGATTATGTAAATATTTCTACATGTAAAAATTCAGAAAAATAAATAACATTTTACATCTTTAAATCTGTATTGTTTGGAGGAAGATGTTCCAAGCATGAAAGTCAAATAAATTCTCTTTTCTCAGTTGCCTGTTGCTGTAAACAATGACATTTTAATATGTTTCTTACTTGGATCCAAATTTTCTTGTGTAATTTTTGTTCTTCTTAGAGTTTGTAATGCCTTTTGTGTATTGGTATGTGTGTATGCATGTATGTGTGTGTTTATAGGAGGAATGGGGGCTTTAAAAATAACTATATGCCTAAGATAATTCAAGTTCTTAATTGTACTATTTGTTGGATGCACGGATATGCATCCTAGTCCTGCTGCAGAAGCATTATTATGGATTCTCTTGGATTTTATGTCTTCCCTTTTGTGGTTTCCATTTTAGTTTAGCTGTAGTGCATTAAGTAACTTTTTTTTTTTTTTTTGAGACGGAGTTTCACTCTTGTTGCCCAGGTTGGAGTGCAATGGCGCGATCTCAGCTCACTGCAACCTCTGCCTTCCAGGTTCAAGCAATTCTCCTGCCTCAGCCTTCCGAGTAGCTGAGATTACAGTCATGCGCCACTATGCCCAGCTAATTTTATATTTTTAGTAGAGACGGGGTTCCACTATTTTGGTCTTGAACTCCTGACTTCAGGTGATCTGCCTGCCTCAACCTCCCAAAGTGCTGGGATTACAACCATGAGCCACTATGACTGGCCCAAGTAACTTTTTATAGAAAGGAATATGAATTTGCTCATTATTTGTATGTACAATAATGTCTTTATAATTTTTTCATATTTTGACTGAAACTTTGGCTAGATACAGAATTCTAAGTTGAAAATAATTTCCTGTAATATTCATAAAGACATTGTTTCAGTAGTATACAATATTCAGTATGGCTAATGAGAAATGTGTTATGAATCTGATTTTTGCTTCCTTGTAGTCAACTTCTTTGTGGATACTTTTTGGCTATTTCTTTTCTTGCTGTTCTGAATTTTGTAAGTATGAGCCAATATGTGGGTATTATTATTATTGTTATTATTATTATTAGTTTTTAGATGAAGTCTTGCTCTGTCTTCCAAGCTGGAGTGCAGTGGCACAGATCTCGCCTCACTGCAACCTCTAACCCCCAGATTCAAGTGATTCTCCTGCCTCAGCCTCCTGAGTAGCAGAGATTACAGGCAGGCGCTGCCACGCCCGGCTAATTTTTGTATTTTTAGTAGAGACGGGGTTTCACCATATTGATCAGGCTGGTCTTAAACTCCTGACCTCATGATCTGCCTGCCTCAGCCTCCCAAAGTGATGAGATTACAGGCATGAGCCACCGCTGATGCGGGTATTATTTTATTTATTCTGCTCTTCAAACAGTGAGACCTTTCAATTTGAATACCTGTTTTTAGTTTTCACAAAGTTTATGCTGTTAACTCTTTCATTATTTCCTTTGCTTTGTTTTCCTTTTCCTTTTTCTTTTTCTGGAACTCTTATTAAGTAGATATTGGACATCCTTGATTTTTTCTTTGTCTTTTTGTTTTTCTCTCATTTTTAAAATAATTATGCCTTTTATATTTACTGGGAGATGGCCTTAAATGTTTTATTCCAACTTTCTTTTGCAAGTTTTATTTTGGCTGTCACATTATTATTTTCCAAGAACTTTTTCTTTCTTTCTCATTACTCCTTTATGAGATTTCTAAAAATGTGTTTTAAAATCTCTTCCAATATCTTTAGTAACAGTGATTTAAAATTCTCTTGATTGAAGTGAAATTATTTTTGTTTCCTTTGGGTTCAGTTCTACTTGGTTGTCTTTGTCCTTCTCCTTGGTTTTGATGGGTTTTCTTAAATGTCTGATAGTTCTGGGTTTTATATTCGTATTTGTGAATGAAGAATTAGGTTCATTCATATAGATTACTGCTTTGTTGTTTACCTGACTTTACTAGCCTATGTCCTGAATGAGAGAGTTTACTGAGCTCAGTGTAGTGTAGACAGCTTGCTGGCCATTTGACTTTACTGCAGGCTTGGGACAGGAAGGCAGAATCCTCTACTCCCACCTCCACAAGACTTGCCAAAACAATGAGGACTCTATTATGTGGCTTTAGTGCCCTACTTGAAAGCCAGAGTTCCTCTGAGGCAGTGTGTCAATCTGTTTTGGGCTTCTTTGACAGAATACCTAAGATTTGGTAATGTACAATGAACAAAAATTTATTTGCTCACAGTTCTAGAGTCTGGAAAGTCCAATATCAAGGCACTGGCAGGTTTGGTGATTCCGATGCCAAGATGATGCTGAGGAGAGGAAGGCTTTGTCTTCACATTGGCAGAAGGTAGAAGGGCAAAGAGACAAAAGGGGACCAAACATGTCTTTTTAGAATGGCAGTAATCTCACCCATGAGGTAGGAACCCTTATGGCCTAATCACTTCTCAAAGGTCCCACCTCTTAATACTGTTGAAATGAAATTTCAACATGAGTTTTGGAGGGGACAACCACTCAAACCATAGCAGGCAGATAGCTCGATTACTTCACATAATTTTTCTGCTTTAAACTTGGGTGCACATGAGAGGGTGGAAAAGTCAGTCAATGCAGGTTTTCTGCCAACAATTCTTCAACCAGTCACCATTTTTCTTCTTATTTATATTTCCTGTTAATTTTTACTCCTGTTCTCTCTTTAACTGCTGCCTGGGGTTGGGATGAGGCTGCAAATAGAGCAATGAGGAACTGCTTTCTCCTCTACTGATGTCTTCTCTTATGGATCCCAGGGTTGTAATGACAGGTGTTTAGTAAATGTTGGCTTGAGTTAAACAAGACATTCATTAGTTTACTCTTTAGTCTGGTTCAAATAACAGGTCTTGCCAATTCTTGTGCTTTACTTATACCCTGAAAAGACAGCATTTGAGTCTCATGGCAATGGGAATCTCATGTAGGCAAGCTTGTTTAATTGTTTAACTGAGGAATTAATTGGTGAAACATCCTGCTGAAGTATTCTTAAGTGGCCTGCTCTTTATGTTTCAAATGTTATCTTAGGAAACCTGACCCACAGACGTGTAACTTTGCCTCAAGTTGAGAGAGGTGCGGACTCATCTGAAGGCACACGGAAGCTCCAAAAGGAGTCCTTTGGAATATAAGCTGTGCTTCTGGACAGAGAGAAAAAAACCCTGCATATTAATTAAAATGAAACAATTTGATTTGATGAATGCATGTGCTTATATTTTTATAGTAGCCTTCTAACATGACCCTCCCCATGATGTACATAAGTCTTTATGAACAAAACATGAATGTTTGCCAAATGATATTTTTAGGAAGCATTTAATGAGTGCCAGTATGCCTATAGGACACTGAAAGAAGCAAAACAAATGTTGCATTTCATTGATGTCAGCAATAGCTTGTAAACCTCAGACGTGATTTCACACCCAGAGATTGCGCCACTGCCCAGAATGAAAAACCATTTCAAGGGAACTCCTGGCACCACTTTTAAGAGCACTTCGTGAATGGCCACACCATAGCCTTCGTGTGAAGGCCAGTGAAACAGCAGCTGGTGAGTACATAAGCCTCTCGCCTCGGGAGGTCTGAGCTCATAATCAGACTTGCTTTGGCCGCAAGGAAAAGTTTACTTCGTTCCTTCTTGTTCCTACTTAGCCTCATTAGAAAACCACCATACCATTTAGCTTGGTTTGCTCGGTTGGCAGTGTCTGTTGAAGAGGAGGCCAGAGGTTGGGTAAACAGGGCCTGGCTGAGGTGTGTTGGCTCTACTGAGTGGATTTCTGCCTGCCACCTGCCTGGGCTTGAGCTTTCTTTAGGCCAAGCACTATTAATCCTTCTCTGTCTTCAACACTAAATCCATGTCAAACTTTTTCTGTTTTAATTTAGAGCTAATTCATGAGGTATTTGCCCTTCTGAAGTTGGAATCTGTAATGATTTAAAACATGAGACTGGTAAGTACAACTGTTGGACTGGGATGGGGTCCTAGTTTTGAAAACATTTTGTTTTCATTGCACCAGGGTATTCTTGGCCTCCCAGCTATTAGTGTATTACTGTCACCTTTTTGTAAGTTGGAAGTGAGGTGTGAACATTTAAGGTTTTCCACATTAGACATTTGAAAATAATGGCAAAAGTAAAAATGGAAGGCTTGAGAAATATTGACAAGTTTTACGCTTTCTACATCATTAATTTTAAGGAACTTCTTTATCCAATAACAGTATAAATCCAGCAGATTTGAGAGTTGAGACAGAAACTTCCCACATGGGGCCAGGCACGGTGGCTCATGCCTGTAATCCCAGCACTTTGGGAGGCCGAGGTGGGTGGATCACGAGGTCAGGAGATCGAGAGCATCCTGGCTAGCACGGTGAAACCCTGTCTCTACTAAAAAATACAAAAAATTAGCCAGGCATGGTGGCGGGCACCTGTAGTCCCAGCTACTCGGTAGGCTGAGGCAGAAGAATGGCGTGAACTGGGGAGGCGGAGCTGGCAGTGAGCGGAGGCCACGCCACTGCACTCCAGCCTGGGCAACAGAGCAAGACTCCATCTCAAAAAAAAAAAAAAAAAAAGAAAGAAAGAAAGAAAAGAAAAAGAAACTTCCCACATAGGCTTTCCTGCTGCTCCACACCAGAGCACCTGCTCAAGCCAAAGCAGGATTTTCTTTCTTTTGGCTGTCATGAACCACACTATCCTCTCTTGGCTTTGCCCAATATAACTGCTGCTCTGGAACATAGCACACTGGCCCTTTTAGTTTTAAACGAAACTGCAAACTAGCTTTAAACTTCCTAAGCTATTTATAAGAACATAAAAATCTCGTGTTATGTAGGTATACATGTGCTATGGTGGTTTGCTGCACCAATCTACCTGTCATCTAGGTTTTAAGTCCTGCATGCATCAGGTATTTGTCCTAATACTCTCCCTCTGCACATGTATCCTGGAACATAAAGTAAAATTTAAAAAATTGAAAAAATACTCCTCTGAAAGCAGTGTAATAAATTAGGCATTGTCATAAATTCAGACCAAAGAACAGTGGGAAGGAATCTTTTCTAAATTTGGGGGAAAAATATTCAAAAATAAGTAATAGGAGCTGATTATCCCTTGACAGACAAGTTTTTAGGTGAGGTGTGAATGACCCACTGTTCACTTGATGGCTGCCCCAATTCTGCCATCTGAGGAGACCGAGCAGAAACATTTAAGAAGCAGAGACTGTCTGAAGACGAAAAATCTCACGCTCATTCTAACTGAGAGGACACAGAATGTCTGAGGCTATATTCTGTCATCTATTAGAAGCAAAGAAGTAAGAGTATACCGTACGTTTCTACTGGCAATCTAAAAGACAACAGTGTTTCTGGAGAGGCTTTGATTCTGCTTCTGAATGGTATTTTCAATACCTCACAGCAGAGTAGAGGATGCAAGGGAAAAAATCAGAGTTCAGCTCAAGTCTCCCTTCCTTCATTAAGCCTTTTATCCTCAGGGAATAGCATTTATTTAGCAGGTATTGGTGTAAGTTTTGGAGATACAGTGACAAATAAAGGATTTTAGCTTTCAAGGAGCTTACATTTTAGTAAAAGAGACAGCCTGTATGTTCATAATGAGAACTGTGAAGAGGCTGAGTTTCACCCTACTTGCAAAGCCTACAACAGTTTCATGAATGCTGTTACAATACATGAGACTTCTGGGTCAGAAATGAAGGAAATTATTACTAACAGCAATAGCAGTTGCCAGAGAGTCAGCATTTATGTGCAGGTTCCCTTAACTCCAATCCCACAGAGTGACTAGGAAGAGGGCCAGAGGATACTCACAAAAGCTGGAGAGGAACTTTAAGTTTAGGAGCCTAAGTCCTTAATGGGCAGTAAGCATGCCTTTCCTTCGATTTGCTGGGAAACATTACCTTTATTATGCTGGACAGTGAGCATGCCTGCCCTTTTCACCAAAGGGAGGCATTATCTGTATCTTCCAAGTCTGTTCACCATACAAACTCCTTGAAAAGGTAGTTTTGAATAAAGATCAGTCAATGACTCATTTGCAAGACATGCAGAAACACGAGAGACCCATGGAGAATTCTTTCCCAACAGTTCAAAGTGATGGCCTGATTTGTCAGAGTAAAGACAGCTCTGCTTATAGGGGTAAGTAGTAGTTTTTCACATGCTGCCTCCTGGGATTTATGGATGTGACTACAATACCCAAAGGGGCATATCTTCAGTTGGGACAGAGGAGGAGCAGGGCTGAGCCAAAGAAATTTGCAGTGTGATGATTCTGTTGGCAGCGCCCAGAAAACTTCACAGTCCTATGACAGCATGAAATGTTAGCTATGCAACTCATGGCCAGAAGTGTTGGGCTGCAGGTGTCAGTCAGGCCGGCTACCAATGTGTCCAGGCATCTAGCCAGGAGGGGGCTGAGGGACTTGGAGGAGAGATGAGAGCCAGTCATGGAATAATTGCATTAAAAAACAAAAATACAAAACCAAAAATATCCCATTGTTTTTGCAGTGAATTAGCCCAAATAAGTGTCACCTGTTGGCCAGGATTTCTTTTACTTTAGCCTGATATATAAGAATTTAGAAACAGCCATATGAATTTATTGAAAGTTGGTAAAAACAAAATGTGCTTCTGAGCTGTCTGCCATTTCAGCCTTAGTTAATTTTTATGGGTGATCTTTAAACTCCTAGAAAACAAATGTATAATAGAAATGCTAACATAGACACAGATTTGACCGTAAAAAGATGCAGTGGAAGCTGATATAGACACCATGGAATTTTGTAGGCAGAATTTCATAACAGAGCATTTGGTTTAATAATAAAGTTGAAAATAACAAAATGAAGTAAAAATAAGAAAAAAATTTATTACTGGTGGGAGGGTTTTATAAAATAAAGTGTCTCTTAGAAACCAAGGAATACACAGAATATATCTCTTGAAATGCTTATTGTATGTATGTCTGGTGTAACAAATTGACTTAAGGCAAATTGTCTTTGAATTCTTAGACCCGTGGTCTGGATTCCTCCTCACTAATAGTGTTAACAAAATAGTAGTTGTGTAACTTATTTTCTAGGCTGCTTAGGAGAGAAGCTACTGTGCATTTTATTAGTCTTTTTTAAAAATTTTATTTTAATTTAATTTAATATATATATATATATTTATAATACTTTAAGTTCTAGGGTACATGTGCACAATGTGCAGGTTTGTTACATATGTATACATGTGCCGTGCTGGTGTGCTGCAACCATTAACTGCTCATTTACATTAGGTATATCTCCTAATGCTATCCCTCCCCCCTCCCCCCACCCCACAACAGGCCCCGGTGTTTGATGTTCCCCTTCCTGTGTCCAAGTGTTCTCATTGTTCAATTCCCACCTATGAGTGAGAACATGCGGTGTTTGGTTTTCTGTCCTTGCAATACTTTGCTGAGAATGATGGTTTCCAACTTCATCCATGTCCCTACAATGGACGTGAACTCATCATTTTTTATGGCTGCATAGTATTCCATGGTGTATATGTGCCACATTTTCTTAATCCAGTCTATCATTGTTGGACATTTGGGTTGGTTCCAAGTCTTTGCTATTGTGAATATGCCACAATAAACATACGTTTGCATGTGTCTTTATAGCAGCATGATTTATAATCCTTTGGGTATATACCCAGTAATGGGATGGCAGGGTCAAATGGTATTTCTAGTTCTAGATCCCTGAGGAATCGCCACACTAACTTCCACAATGGTTGAACTAGTTTACAGTCCCACCAACAGTGTAAAAGTGTTCCTATTTCTCCACATCCTCTCCAGCACCTGTTGTTTCCTGACTTTTTAATGATCACCATTCTAACTGGCATGAGATGGTATCTCATTGTGGTTTTGATTTCCATTTCTCTCATGGCCAAAAAAAGAGCCCGCATTGCCAAGTCAATCCTAAGCCAAAAGAACAAAGCTGGAGGCATCACGCTACCTGACTTCAAACTATACTACAAGGCTACAGTAACCAAAACAGCATGGTACTGGTACCAAAACAGAGATATAGACCAATGGAACAGAACAGAGCCCTCAGAAATAATACCACACATCTATAACTATCTGATCTTTGACAAACCTGACAAAAACAAGAAATGGGGAAAGGATTCCCTATTTAACAAACGGTGCTGGGAAAACTGGCTAGCCATATGTAGAAAGCTGAGACTGGATCCCTTCCTTACACCTTATACAAAAATTAATTCAAGATGGATTAAAGACTTAAATGTTAGACCTAAAACCATAAAAACCCTAGAAGAAAACCTAGGCATTACCATTCAGGACATAGGCATGGGCAAGGACTTCATGTCTAAAACATCAAAAGCAATGGCAACAAAAGCCAAAATTGACAAATGGGATCTAATTAAACTAAAGAGCTTCTGCACAGCAAAAGAAACCACCATCAGAGTGAACAGGCAACCTACAGAATGGGAGAAAATTTTTGCAATCTACTCATCTGACAAACAGCTAATATCCAGAATCTACAATGAACTCAAACAAATTTACAAGAAAAAAACAAACAACCCCATTGACAAGTGGGCGAAGGATATAAACAGACACTTCTCAAATGAAGACATTTATGCAGCCAAGAGACACATGAAAAAATGCTCATTTTATTAGTCTTATTCAATTTTTTATTTTAATCCCCTTCCTCTGCATACCCTTTCCCCAAGCTTGCCATATGTATGCTGGAAAAGAGTATTTGTTTTTGAAATTTTCATGCAAAACTTTGCATAATTGTTGTGTGTGACCTCATGTAGTTCTAACGATTGCACATCATAGAGTAATTATTATCTCCTTTTACAGATGGGGAAACTGAGAAAGAGAGAACTTCAGGAATTGCCTATAGTCATATAGTGAGGGACAGTGCAAAACAATAGATTGTCAAAAAGATACTATGATCTGGTTCCCTCTGAAATAATATTGTTATGTAAACAGCTTGTTTACTTGATGGGATGACAACTTCTGGCTTCAATTACTCTTACAATTTTATAGGAGCTATGTCCATTTAATGAAGTTATTTCCGTTTAAAACTAATACAAATATGTTAGTAAACAAACCAATAACACACACAGATATGCACACATGCAAATACAAAAAGTGTTTTCTGTGGTTTAGTTTTGTAAGAGGCCACATTAAACCAGTTCTGCCAATGCCTCATAAAGGAAGGAAGGGAGGAAATTAAAGGAGAGAAGAATGCCAGGCAATGCCTGAGATTCTTTTGTGGACCTTAACTTCTGGCTTATGAAAATGTCAGACATAGAGAGAGAACTGCTGGAAGATTTGAGATTCAGACAGTGACTTTCCATTTAAAGGAATTACACAGTCTGTTTTGTGAAAAAAGTAGGGAAACATTAAAAAGTTTATTTATTCAATAAATATAGTTTTAGAAAGCAAATGTTTTTGTTAAGGAGATAAATTTAACAATTCAAGACACATTAAATGTATCCAACAATTATATCCCATACAGTGTTCAGTTGCTTCCCTTTCCAGTTTAAAAAATAATTTTTAGGGCTAATTTTGTAGTAAAGATAATGGAAACTGACATTTTCGTGGTGAAGAAAGCTTCACCATCAAATGGGTATTGTGTTCAGCAGTAACTTAGCAAATAGAATTAGGAAACTGTGTTTGTATTAATGTAAGCATAGATATTTAAGTCTTTATAGTAAAGAAACTTGAGGTCAAAAGGAATATAATATAACAGCTATAACCTTTCTTATACACAGAGAATAATGACAGTCATAAAATGCAAAATAGTAGGAGACCATAGAGACCCATTCAGCTTATGCTCTGTTTCTGATAATAATAACCAAGGTTGTATCAGCCAAATTTGTTGTTTTCTGCCATGCTTGTGGTAAACTTTTAAATAAAAGTCCCTCTCACCCTTCACTTCTCCCTTCACATGCAGACACAGAGAAATGTGAAAGGAATAATTTTATTCCCCCTGAACTTGTTCTTGGAAAAGTTAGAAGTAGATTGAAATTTAATAAGGCTTATAGGATTTACCAAAGTTCACAAACACTATTATGGCTATTTGTGTGGTTCCCTGCTCCCAGATATATACCTTGCCAGGTACTCAAGAGCTTAAAATTTCACCAATAAATTTATTACTTTGAGTTTTATGTGCCTTGGGTCATTGAGAATCTGTCTGTGAGGGATAACATGCAGCAAAGGATCTGACACATTGTGAGTGCATAATAAATGTTTTTGAATGGTGGCTTTATTACCTACTTATGGGGGTCAGTTGACAGTCAAGTGAGGTCACCTTAGATCCTCAGTTAAGACAAAGAGAGCATACAGAGAGTACCACAGAGGCTGGGAGTGAGGGTATGGCAAATGAAAGAGAGGACCAAACAGCCACTGTTTAGTTTACTGATTTGTTGAAGCTTTGTCTTTCCCATAAATAATATGCTAGACTTATTTTTTATCTTCCTTTTACTTTTTCTCCTTTATTGTCTTTCCTCTTTCAGATCCTACTTTCCTTCTCCCTTCTTTTCTTTCCCATCTGTCTAGTCTCAAAATGGATTTAAGGTAGTACTAGAAGTCAGCGTTATAAGAATTATAGGTAATATGAAACATAAGTAACTTGTACATATGCCAGATTAGAATTATTTTAATCAGCTATATATCAAGTCAATAATTTCTCATCTATATATTCCTATATATTTCCTGTGTCTTTACCGTATTTTAGGATATTTGGGGCCATTAAACACATTTTAAAATATTGTGCATTTTACTCTTTAAATTGACAGAGGAGCAGCCAACTTATCTTGCCGTCTTTGTTTGTTTTTTAATTTCAGTGGTTAGCATTAAATAAATCTTGATTGATTGTCAAAGGGGGTGAGATTATGACTTAATATCTGAAATTAAAAGACAAAGCTGAGCTGATTGCTTATAGCAAGGGAGAACTATTTAATTCAGACACAGTCTCCTGGAGAAGAGTAGATTACTGATTATATACAAGGTTTTTGGACAGCATGGGGCTCAAGGATTAGCACATTTTAAGAGGCATAAGTAGATTGACATAATCTGTTCAAGCATGATTATTCAGTTTAGATTTTTATTGATTGGTTGGCATTCAGAGGCATGTTTTTTAGAGTGAGTCTGTTCCTTATTGGTTGACTTTCAGAAGTGAGGGATGGCTATGGATTGATTGGCTTTAAAAAGCATGTTAATTGAGGCAAAATTGCCATTAATCAATTGGATGGATTTAAAAGTTGTTCTTAGGACTACTTGCTATGATGGCTAAAGAACAATCACTCTTTTTCCAAAGATTGTATCAATATTTGTATTCTAACTTCTTATCCGGATAAAGCAGCAGGAAGATTGCAAAAGTATTCACTACTGTTGTTTATTTTAATGAAGATGAGGTTTCATTTTTAATCAGCATGATTTCATCCTGTTTTCGTTAGTGAATCATTTGTTGGACCATCTATTTGAAAAGCAGCTATGCAGAAGCTTTCAAGACAATGAACAACAATTATTGAATAACTGTGACAAGAACAAGTTTAAGTATTATAAGTAGGGCCTATAAGACACTATAGAACCATGGCAAAAGATTTCTCAGGCCTGATCAAGAAGATAATACTTCCCCAAGTCTGTTTTAGAAGGCCAGGATGCCTTTTCTTTTAGCTTAGATTATTCCACCTCACCTATAATAAATAACATGAAGTGGAAACATGTTGTACCAACCCCCAGTTGGCCAAAATAACTAAATAAAATCCAAGGTTACCTGATTGGGTTAAGAAATTAAACTAGTCTATTGTGCCATCCTTGCCTGGGTTGATTTCTTACTATGTCAGGGAAGAAAAAAAAAATTTTTGATTACTATAACAAGTTATCTATCTCATATGAATGGGATCTTTAAGAGAGTTATTATTTATCTCCTCATTTTATTTGATATATTTTATTATTAAAAATATATCAGGTAACTTCCTGGATTTCTGACTTATGAACAAAGAAAAACATGTAATATTAGATATAATAAAGAAAATATAATTATAGATGTCATTGATATTAACAGAATTTTAAGAAAGTATGTGGAACTGTCTGGTTATAAATTAGAAAGAAAAAGTTTTATCAAGCAAAACATAAATGCTAGATTTTACCATATAAAAGAGAAAACCTAAACAGACCAATGGCTGCAGAAAAAATTAGAAATGTTGCTATAAAAGTTTGTTATAGAACTCTCAGTATTTTTAAACGTATTAGGTCCAGATGGTTTTATACCTGTGTCCTAGGTAACATTCAAAAAGAGATGAGTCATGCATAAAGCAATAACTCAAGATCACAGAGAAAGCACACACAACATTTTACTTAGCTAGCATAACCTTAATATGGAAATAATACTGACAGTATAAACATTTTAGAACTAGATCCATATAAGTAACTCAAATTTAGAGTTTTTTAAAGGAATAACAAAACAAAGCAAGTTGCACTCCAGGAATGAAAGGAAGGCTCAATAAGAAAAAGGGCAGCAACATAATTCATCTCATTTTCAAATGAAAGAAGAATAAAGCAATATCATTTTATTGAGTCTTAAAAATCACTTAAATTTAGCTGCATTCCTAATAAAATGATAAGTAAAATGGAGACAGAGAAAATGATCACCACATAATAAAACTATTAAAAATCTCAATAGCGTGCATCATAATAAACAATAAAATACTAGAATTCTTATCATTAAAAGTGGGACTAACAGAATGGCAATTATTAAAAAGTCAAGAAACAATAGATGCTGGTGAGGCTGTGGAGAAACAGGAATGCTTTTACACTGTTGGTGGGAATGTAAATATAAGTTCAACCATTGTGGAAGACAGTATGGTGTTTCCTCAAGGATCTAGAACCAGAAATACCACTTGACACAGCAATCCCATTACTAAGTATATACCCAAGGGAATATAAATCATTCTACTGTAAAGACACAGGCACATGTATGTTTATTGCAGCGCTATTTACAATTGCAAAGACGTGGAACCAACCCAAATGCCCATCAGTGATAGACTAGATAATGAAAATCTGGTACATATACACCATGGAATACTATGCAGCCATAAAAAAGAATGAGATAATGTCCTTTGCAGGGACATGGGTGAAGCTGGAAGCCATATCCTCAGCAAACTGACACAGGAACATAAAACACTCATAAGTGGGAGTTGAACAATGAAAACATATGGACACAGGGAAGGAAACAACACACACTGGGGCCTGGTGGGGTGGGGGGCGAGGGGAGGGAAATAGAGGACGGCTCAGTAGGTGCAGCAAACCACCATGCCACAAGCATACCTACGTAACAAACCTGCACATTCTGCACATGTATCCCCCAGAATTTAAAGTAAAATTGAAAAGATAAAGTGAGACTAAGATACTCAGTTATCTTCATTATTAAGTGATATTTTGGAGGTTCTAAATAAAGCAATGAGACAAGAAAAAAAAAGCATAAATATTAAAAGAGACAAACATCTTTATTTGCATAATTTCATCCTGTTATTGTTTGTGAATCATTTGTTGGATCATCTATTTGGGCAGCAGCTATGCAGAAGCATTCAAGACAATAAACAACAAATATTAAATAACTGTGACATGAACAAGTTTAAATATTATAAGCAGGGCCTAGAAGACACTATAGAACCATGACAACATAGAACATTATTATTTGCATATAATCCAAGTGATATAACTAAAGGTATTATAATTTAATAAAGTAGAAGGTATAAGATTATTGGAAAAGCAAATAAATTGCTTTTCTTTATATTAATAATCAGTTAGAAAGGAAGAAATGTATTTAAAAGAAGGCTTCAGGATATGTGCAGACATATCCTGCACATATCCTGCACAAAAATTATAAAATATTATTGAACGTTTTAAATAAATTAAGAGACATGTCTTGTTTCAGAATTTTAAAAATTAGTATTATAAAAATATCAGTCATTCAAAAATGAATATATAAAGCTTTTATTCAATCAGAATTTTCACATGTTGTTAAAAATAGGACAAAACAGAAGTTCATCTGGAATAAATGTTGCAGAATTGCCAACAATTTTTAGAATAATATTAGTAATGGGGTCTTGGCATAACCAGATATCAAAACTTGTTTCAAAGCTATTATCATCAAACCTGTATGATTTTGGTATAGAAGTAGATAAGTAGATCACAGAACTAACTAGAGAGTTCATGCATATAGTGGAACCTAATGTGAAGATGCCATTTCAATTCAGTAGGGAAAGAATGATATATTCAGTAAATAGTGGTGGCAGAATTGATTTCCCAATCTAGTTGGAAAACACAAAATTATGTTCTTACATGATGTGTTATACAAAAGACCCCACAAATACATTAAAGGGCTAGCTACAAAAGAAAGTAAAAATGAAAAGTTCTTTAGGAAAGAAAGAACAATAGAGACCTTAAGGGAAGAGATAAATGGATGACTATGAAAGAAAATATTTTTCTATACATTGAACTACATCATAAAAAGTCAAATGAGAGATTCAGAGGAAATATATTTGATACTTAATGACAGAGAAGGTGTTACTATTTCAAACATGTAAAGCATTACCATACATTGATTTAAAAAGATAACCTAACTGAAAAATAATAATAAAGTCAAGTGGCCAATAAATATTTGAAAATATGATTAATCTCATTAGTAGTCAAAAAGTGCTTGAAGCAGTAAAAAAATATAATTTTCCCCTCATGCTATTGAGAAACATTAAAGAATTTGATAGCATCAGTATTCACATACACTTGGAGTGAACGCATTTAACCTGTCAGGAAAGTTACTTGACAGCAAATTCCTCTTTGGAAATATGTCCTAGAGAATATTTGCACAAGCGCATGAAAAAATATGCATATGGATGTTTGCAGTGGAAAACATGGAAAAAAATCTGAATGTTCAAGTTAGAGAATGACTGGAAATATCTTAATACAATCACTTTGCGGATTATTGTGCAGCCATCAAAATAGAATAAGATCAATTTATTTATATGCAAGCATGTCCGCAATTCATTTTTAAATGAAACGAAGTAAGTTTTAATGAAATAATATATTTTGCTTAAATTTTGTCAAAAATGAAGTAAACAAAAATTAATACATGGGTATATAGGTTGGTGTACACCTCAATGTATATAGAGACAGGTGAGAGAGGATAGATATCAAAAAGGCAACACTGATAATCTTTGGATGGAATTGGTTGGGGTTTAGAAGAGATGCAAAACATGAGAAAAATATGAATGTTTATCAATTTAGAGAATGGCTGGAAATATTTTAATAGATTTATTTGTGGAATATTATACAGTGGAATATTAATATGAAATATTAATGTCTCCAGAAGAGGTTGGTTGGAGGCTGGAGAAGATGATTAATTTTTGTTTTTCTGTGTTTTTACATTGAGCACATACTACTTCAAATAATTACAATAGTAGAAAAAATAAAATTGATATTAATTTGTAAGGCAAATAGATAATGTAAAACATTAAGATTTTAGAACTCTTAGAAAGTTAGAAACTCTAGGGAAAAGAATAAATGCTAGAAACCCAACAGGTACACTAAAAGTGTCACAAGAACCAAGAGAAGGAGATAAACATTCTATGAACTTTTGGAAGTCTTGGAAGACATAGCTCTAAAAATATTATAACACTAGATAACTAGGGTTATTTTAGGTATCAATTGTTGTGTAACATACATATACATGTATATATACACATATATGCTTGGTCAACTTGAATTAGTATTTAAAAATGAGTAAGCAACAGGCAACAATAGCCACTCAGACTGACTCTGGTGACTTATTTAACTGCAGAGATCTGGAATTATTACTCCTGACTCTTGGGGCAGAAATGTAACCTCTGGTCAATGGGCCTCTTTTTTTTTTTTCCCTTGGCTTTCACCCAGCTTTGCTGCTCTTATACAGATGTGGCATTAAAGTATTCTCTGAATCACCAGCACATGAACAAAAGAATTTCTATGAAAAGTTAACAAAGGGGAAACTGTGACTTGGGGAGTTTTTAACTTCCCAAAGTTCAGGTGAGTCAGTGATGATGTTGAGATGGGCTCCAAACAATCATTTTAAGTGAATTTTCCCTACTCTTCTTCTACATTTTAGGCACTAAGATTAGCTCTTGTAAGAGTATGCCTTTTCCCACAGCAAACCATAAATAATGCTTTTTTTTTTTTTCCTTTTTAACGACGTCTCACTCTGTCACCCAGGCTGGAGTGCAGTGGCATGATCTCCGCTCACTGCAACCTCTGCCTCCTGGTTCAAGTGATTCTCCTGCCTCAGCCTTCTGAGTAGCTGGGACTACAGGTGTGTGCCACCACACCTGGCAAATTTAAAATCAAAATGAACACAAGTGATAAGACTGTACTTGTTTGGTTTTTAAAATAGCTAAAGATTGTCTCATTATTTATTGTCTTGGTTTTCACTTTGCTTTCAATAGCTGATATATAAACTAACTAGATTAGGAGATATTTAAATCTCACAGATATCCTGTTCCTGTTTTTCTCGCATGACATTTTGTAGGAGACAGAGCCAGAGATGACAGAAATGCAGCATAAATAGCAATGTGGATAATTATCTGAACTTTATAAACATATAAGGTTAGTTCATTCAGATTATATGTATGAGTTTAAAATAAACAAAATATATATCATGAAATTTAGTTTCAGGAAGATCCTGATGCATATTTTATGAACCTTATATTTATGGAATAACCATTGATTTTCCAATAAAATATCATTTAGAGGAAGAAATGCTTAAGTTCAAGGGACTAGATCTGTTAACAGAGTGCACTTTCCTAAATCATATCTGCAATAAAGACCCTCATGCTTGTATTATGATGCAGGCATATCAGGTTAACCATAGGAATTTGAAAATAAGAATATAGTTACCATTTGTATATATTTTGAATTTGGTTCTATGTAAAAAACAATTTGGTAGTTTTGGAGAAGTGACTTTAGATTCAATCTTATCAGAAATAATTGGAAGTAGCTCTGTATGGAAACATTCTCAGATGATTGTAGCATGGACTGGAACCTGGGGATCAACAAATTACAGCCCACTTATTTTTGTAGGAACTGATTTTTACATTTTTAAATGGTTGAAAAACATAAAAAGAATATTTTATGCCACATGAAAGTTATGTGAAATTTAAATTTTAGTGTTCATAAATCTCACAGACACATTCATTCATTTTTGCAGTTACCTGTGGCCATTTTCTTGTTACAATGGCAAAGTTGAGTGTACATGACAGAGACTATATTCCCCTCAAAACCAAAAATATTTACTATCTATCCCTTTATAGAGAAAGTTTGCTGATCCCTAGATTAGGAAGTCTCTGAGTGCATTTACTGTAAGGACTTGTATATGTTATGTTTCCTTTGTGGTAGGCCAAATGACATTAATTGATTAATTAATTAAACCTTTTATTCATAAATTCAATAAAGCCTATTTTGAGTATTGATACTGAAATAGCATTAGGAATAGAAAGATATGTAAAACAAACTCTCTGTCCAAGAGGAGATTATATGAAATGATTACATGTCATTAAGACAGCCATACTAAGAATGTTTACAAAGAAATGCCTTAGTGGACAGAGAACCATGGTAATTTTAGGTCCTACAAATTCTTTCTTGAGAAGAGTTCTATCACAAGATGTGCTGCAATGCTTGCAGACTGTGAACTTTTCTCTCTACCCTCTTAAACAGTGTCCTGAACTTCCATTTTCCTGCCCATATGTTTATATGGGTTCCCTGGTATCTTGAGATAAACACTGTTTCCCAATCATGACAGTCTTGGAGGTTCCGATTGGCAGCCACCATCACTGAACACTTTTTGTGTGACAAGTATCGTGCTAGGGGCCTTGCCTGCATTGTTATCATTTCACTCCTTATACTCCGTGAGGTAAACAACATCAGCCCCATTTCTGTAAATGAGGAAACTGAATTTCAGAAAGGGCAAGTCAACTTCTAGAAAGTGGCAGAGGAAGAGCCTCTAACATAAAGATGCTCATTTCCAAAGCCAATTCTTTCTACGCCAATTTATGACATTTGTCTTTTAGAGTCAAATTCTTCCTCTCTTCCATTATAGTGCTGTCTTTGGTTACTCTTGAAATGTTGATTGTTAGATAAGTCTTTCAGGCTGTGGCTATGTGACAAAAATATAATTGTTAGGAAGTATGCTGTTTCTATGTTTGTGGATGGCAGTGTGTTTTCACAAGAACTAGTTCCAGCCTGCATTCCACTTTTGTTGTTTCCTTTGTTTTTAAAGCATTTGTGTTTACTAGAATGAGGAGAATATTCCAGGTGGTCAGTAACTGGCTCTAGGTTATAGCCACAGGGTAGGTATTGTGAAATAGCAAAGAGAACTCCAATTTGCTGGTGGAAGAAGCATAGGTCCAAATTTTGAGTCTGTCACTTTCTTGATATGGATCCTTGTCAAAATCATTTACTCCCTAAGCCTCAGTTTTCTTATTTGTAAAATAATTCATGGTGGAACTTTAGATAGGTATCTCTCTATCCCCCATATGCATATGGCCATCTTTGGAATCAGTTTCTACCCAAAACTATCAATAGTGATCGCTTTGGCTGATACGATTATAGAATCACAGAATTGGGAGGAGCAGATAATGTATAATCTTTGGAGACAAATGGACTGAGGTCATTACTAGCTGAAGGATCTGAGGCAAACTGACTTTATTTCCTTGAGCCTCAATTTCTTTAAATGTACAATGAAGGAACTACAATACTACCTCATAGTAATCATAATATTGAATATTTACTGTGAGCTGGGAGCTGTTCTAAGCACTTTACATGAATTGATTGATTAAATCCTCATTACAACCCTATGAGGTCATTACTAATATAAATCCCATTTTGTAGATGGGGAAATTAAGACAGAGAGAGGTTTATGAAGTAGGAGAGTCAGAGGTTTATGAAGTAGGAGAGGCAAGAACCTTGGCAGCCTGGTTTTTGTTCCCAGGTTCTTAATAATTATGCCATAACTCCCACAGAACTCTGTTACATCTTAATTAAGAAAAATAAGTGAAGCCCTTAATACAGAGTAGGAGGAGACTCTGGTTGCCCTTCTGTGAAGAATGTTTTAAAAAGTATGACTCACATTCACATGCATTGGAATCACCTAGGGTGGAGAGGGAAGAGGAGTGGATTTGTCTGAAATGCTGATTCTTGTACTTCAATCTGGACTTACTGAATTCTGGGAATTCTACATTTTTTAAAACAAGTTGTCTGGCTGACTTTTTGTACACTAAATCTTGAGATATTCTATCCTTAGAATCACTCCAGTTCAGTTTGCTAACAATGCAGAAATCTTTTCATGGCATTGGAGACCAATTATTCCCAGGCTTTATAAAAGTTCCTGGTGACAGTGAACTTCCCCTCTCACAAGGCAGCTTATCCCGTTTTTAAAAACGTTTGGACTATTAGAAACATCTTCCTTGTAACTGAATAAAAGAAAAAAAAAAACACTTCTCTACTTAGTTTCTCTTCACATGATCAATTAAGCCTTCTGAGTCACAGAGATTATCAGCATAGGAAGGCACCGGCAAAGCCACCGTGGGAGTGTATGGGACCTGGAGATGAGATATGTTCATGAGCCCGGCATGAGGAACACAGTCTCCAGGGTCAACAGTGACCCATGAAGGAGGTCCTCAAGATGATATCTGTCCCAGCACAGTGACAGGAAGCCTTCGGAAGGATCAAACTCAGAAATCCCAGGCAGGAGGCAGGCAGGTGGCAACATCGTCAGGAAGGTGATCAAAGCATGGAGAACAAACAAGAGCTCAGATGCTGAAATGGGAAATGGGGAGATTGGTCACAGGGGCGAGTCCATAAAATTAATGTGAGATCACCAACAATTTCACTTGGCCCCGACACAACTGAGTTGTTGCAACTAAATGTGACATCCAAATGTGTCACAACTAAATCAGGGTTATTTGGGCTTTCCTTTAGTAGGAACAGGATTCATGTCTCCAGATAGTGTGCATTAGAGATGTTTAATGACAATAAAAATGGTAGTCAGATGGTCCTATTCGTGGAAATAGCAAGATAGGGAATGGGGCACATTTTCTACATTCAGTTATTAAAATATTCAAGGAAAGCCTTTCCTTCTCCAGCCTAAACATTTCAAGTTTTTTCAGCTGTCCAGCATAGGAGCATAGCATTTGGTTTCTGGAGATTCTTCCAATTGGCAGGAGTCATCATCAGATGCTGCAGCTTTTCAATATCCCTCTTAAATGTGGTACCTAGAGCTGATCACAGGGCACTGATATGGCACAACAATGCTAAGTGCAGCAGGCCCTCTTTCTTGTTCTATGTGTTACACCAAAACTAATAGCCACTTCAAACCACTTTCTAATTAGGCAGGCTGCGAATTGTAAATAGCACACTTCAGCTAAGGTAGCCTAAGATCACATTAGCTTTTCCAGCAGCCAGTCATGCACTTGGCTTGTACCAAAATTTCTGTCAGTAAAATCCCTGAAACTTTGTCATATAAAGTAGCACTAAACTGAGACAACGTTGGCTTGTATTTGCACAACTGAGTGTTTAAACCGAAGTGCAGGATTTTACATTTGTCTCTGCTAAATTCCATCCTATTAGTTTGGGCCAAATAGTCAAACCTATAGAGATATATTTTAATTCTATTTCTGTCATCTAACATATTTAGCTAACCCTTCCATTCTTGTGCCATTTAAAAATAGTACCAACCCTTCTATGTCATCATCCAAGTCATTAATAAGAAATATTTAACAGAAATAAGCTTGTTCTGTATTCCTAGGATCTTCCTCAAGATGACATTACTGTATTTGTTAATATCGTCTTAGGCACCTACTATATGCCAAATGCCATACTATGTCCTGGGGATAACAGTATAAACATGGACTAGTTACTGTTCTCAAGAGATTCACAGCCTAATGAAGAAGACAATAAATTAGTAGACCAATGCAATGCTGTGTGATGAGGGCTGTAATAGAGGGATATACAAGGGATAATGGTAAAATCAGGACTTTGGTAGAATAATCATAGAATAATGAAAATCCATTTGGAGTGAAGCAGAGCTAAATAGTTTAGAAACACTTGTCTCATTTACTTCCAATCTTATGAGCCTTTGTTAAAAAAACACTCTTATGCAATACTTAAAAAATTACCACTACTGTGTTTTTATTAACCATTAAGTTGAAGGCCCAGCTATGGTATGCTGCTGTCAACTCTGCTTTTTTATTGTGCCTGGATGTTCTTACCAGCTAGTTAAAAACAACCACTTATTGCCCTCCTGTGAAGAATATTTTTGACCCTTTTTCTTTTACATAACTTATCTATGCTTCCCTTATCTCCTCAATTCTGCCCCCATACCGATGATGAAGGACACTTTACTCAGACACAGATGGCAACAATTAGCTGTTTCCATTTCAAATTACAGTTGTGTCTGTGTGTGTGTTCTTGAAATGCTAGTGCCTGCAGGGGCCCACCCTACCGTCTTGTTTAGCCTAAGTTGGGTTACGATGCCAAAGCCAGTATAGAATAGTTCTAATCGGGTCTCCCACACAAAACAAAATAGTTAGAAGACTAGGTAGCCTGCTGCGCCTCACACACTCAACACAATCAGGCCCAGAATCTTGCTTCAAGATTCCATGGAAAATATTAGTTATTTTTATGTACACAAGTCAGTTCTGAATTAGTTTAGACATGGATTTTTTTTAACTATAAAATAAGGCTTGGAGAACTACCCAGAAGGAAATTGGGTTAATTCAATATATGCAACTTGGGCTGTTTCTAGTCATTACATGTATTGAAAGAAAAGAGACTGAATAGTGGTACTGGGGGTGTTAACATCAAGTTAACCTCATCTAGCAGCTCATTTTTTAAAAAAATCCTGTCTTTCTATTTTTGCCTCTAAGTTTTCTCCTCAGGTTTCCATTTATTTTACTAATTTGGGGGTGGGGGCCAGTGTGCATTAAGGGTTTGTTTCTGAAGTTAGATAGACCTGGGTTTGCATTCCACTTCTTTGTAGTTATGTGAACTGGGTGGGTCACAAATTCCCTCTGCCTCATTTTTCTGGACTGTAAAATGGTGACAATCAACAGTTTTTTTATTAGTGGGCCGCTGGGAGGATTAAACTATGTATGAAAAAAACTCTGGATAGCAGAGACCATATAAAGAAACAGCTCGATACACATGATCTATTTTGTTGTTAATATTAAGATAATGCTTTGAGGATTTGGATGATGATGCTGACCAAAAAAATGAAACTATTGTATTCCCATATATGTAGAATATTTCTTACAATGACTCAGGGATGTTGTTTTCTGAGCTGTTGACATATTGGATCACATGATTTTTATGCTTTTTGAGGGGTGGTGGTGTTGCTGTGCTGTGTATTATACAATGTTTAGCAATGTTCCTGGTTTCTGCCTACTAAATGCCAATAGCACCTCTTCTCCTCCCAGTTGTGACAACCAAAAATATTTGCAGAAATTGCCAAATGTCTCTTGGGATGCAAATGGCCCCTAATTGGGAGCCAGGATTTTAGGCAACTGATGAACATAAGACACTTTATTCAGCCCTAGGATCATGTAGTTCCCTTTATCTTTCTTGAGAGCGTGAAATTGAGTTTACAGGAATTCCCATGGGTTTGTTGGGCTGGATCCCTATAACATTTAAGTAGAAATGACATTAATATTTTTGTATTGTGGACAATGTACCCATCTTAAATGAATGCAATATTCCAGTGGTCTCCTGATATAATTCTGGAGTGAGGAATAACGGTTCATTGCATTTGCATGATATTCCACTTACTACTTTTGATCCAGCACTGAATTTTGCAGGAGGAAGGAAGGAATTTTCATTAACAATAAATGCCATTTTCAATATTCTTAAGGCTCATTAAAGACAAACATTTAACTTGGGAAAATAAATGGCAGAAAAATTATGTCTACATAAAATATATGTGCTATTTGGCATGAGTGGTTCAAGAGGATTTCTCTGCTCTCCAGACACTTTAGATTTTTCCCACTTTTTTCCTTGGCAGTGCAGTGTAAAAAGGGATTCCTTGAGCCTTTTGATGACATTTTGTTGGATTATAAGACACATTGGGTTTAGATTTGTAATCTGCAAGAATTCCATCTGCATGATTCATTGGAGGCGATGCCACTGATGATGATTCCAAATGGTATAATCTTATTATTTATTGACCTGCTTTATAAGAATAAATTAAACTGAAAGGACAATTTAATCTGATTTGGGTAATTTAGTCAATTATTTTATTTCTCAGAATGGCTTGTGTGGGACAAAAAGGGGTCCACATTTTATATAGAGGCAGTTAATTTTATTTTCTTCCTGAATAAACATCCAAGATTTGTAAAGAAACCACTATCAAAGGACATTCTTAGCAGGTGAGTGCTAGAGGTAAATAGAATAATAAAATCCACAATTCTTTTAAATCAATTACTTTTTGCCTTCATACCAACCCAAGTTATTCATGTCACTGAATTTAATGAGTTGATGTTGTGCCATTTTCTAGATGCTGTGGCTTCTAGGGCAGGCTTGAGGGCAGGCTTCTGTGGGAATAAAACATGTTTCTGGTTCAACCTTGGGGGACCAATTAGGGAGATTCAGTTGGGGGCTATTGTCATGGACACTTAAGTGTCAAGGCTTTTGGTATCCATTTGTAACCATAACCATACGTTTAAAAATACGGCTATTTTCTTTGGCAGCCATCCTAACCTAATTAGGAACTAATGCAGACTTGTACATTTCTTGTAAACACATCAGCTGACCATAGGGGTCCGGCCAGGGCTAGAACGTGATTTGAGTTTGATTGAGGGGTTTATCTTTTTCTTCTTTCCTATAATGCACTTTCAGGTCTGGATTATGTTCAGCAGAACTGCTTCTCCTTTTATTTCCCAGTTTCAAATTTTAAATTGATTTACTCTCTTGTTCTTACTTTCTTGCTCTTACTCTTTTCTGGCATGGTTATTTTCTCCTTCTTTATTTTGTCCTTATTATGATGATGATGACTTTACTGTTGTTACAACTTTATCATTTAACCATTTACCTAAGGCCTAGTCTGATATCTTCCAGGCTGGAAGACACGAGGTTTAATAATGACATCAGAGATGATATTTTTTTTTTCAGTGAATGTGTATTACAAGTTTGATTTAAAAAATAACCTTTTTCTGAGAGGAGGGCTGCTTTATTTTCTGCACAGTTCTAGTGGTAGCCTGTAATTCAGATGAGCACACAGAATAAGGTGAAAGCCATAGTGAAATGGGTGCTTGCAAGTGGTCGTACAGTTTTACCAGAGATGAGTTGCAGAGGACCATGAAGTTTAGATTTTGCATGTCAACCATGGTAAGGGTATATCAACCTGGGCTCTAAAAATAGTAATGTTAATAGCTAATTTTAACTGTTTACTATGTGCCATGTTCTATGCTAAGTACTTGACATATTCTCATATAATTTTCACAACAGTCTTATGGAGATGAAAATTGTCATCACCATTTTGAGATGAAACTAAGTGTGTTTTCATATGATCACACAGATAGTAGGTCTGATTCCAAAGCTTATTTCATAAACCACCACATTTTGTCTTTCCATTAATTTGAATGTCTTTTTATTATCCTCTATAAAAAAGTATGAAAATTATATTAAATAAGATAGATATAAACAAACATTGTCTCTGGTAACTATCTACTTTGGCTAAGAAAAATCTTGTTGAGTACTGGTGTTTTCTATGCCTCATATTACTCCATGGGTGTACAAACAGCTTGTAATAAACAATAATGGGTCAATGTGGCTTTTCTTTTAAGTTTTGTTCCATTTTATCCATTAAACTTCTACCTTCAAACTATTTTTATACCATTTTTGGAAATAGAAATTCTGTTTGGCACAGAGATGAGCATACATGCAAATAATACATTTCCCTATGGCCTTTAGTTTTGAGAGTGGATTTTCAGCTAATGGGAAGTGATAAATAAGTAATGGGGCTAGAATGAGAACACAGTTAATGAACTTCAAATGGTGAATCAGATGGTGTTGCTGTTGGCTAAACGATTCTTCAGGTTTTGGCTTTTAAGATAAAAATGTTTTATGACGGAATAGAGACTTGACATGAAAGTAATAAATAAAGTCAAAATTAGAGTTTTTTGGGGGGCAGTCAAGTGGTGAGATTTACATGATGAGAATCTTTGGTACAGATAATGAAAAATCTAGTCTTGAATGCTGCCTGTGTGGCTCAGTAATGCTTGTATGAGGGACAGGTTTTTGCAAAGAGAAAGCAAGAGAGCAGAAAAAGTGTTAAGAGAAGAGAGCAGAAAAAGAGGAGATGGAAAGAGGAATGCAGGCCTGGAAGGAAGTAAGACTGATTAGATAAAAGGAGACCAATTGAAGAAAGCCATCTTCATGGTGGGAATAACTAACTGTTGTCTCAGGCAAACGTGAATGCCATAGTTTAATTTCTCTAAACACTGGTGTGGTAGAATGTATTCGGACATTAATGAATAATGTCTTAGTCCATTTGTGTTACTGTAACAAAATAATCACACACTGGGTAATTTATAAATAATAAAAATTTATTCCTCATGGTTCTGCTAGCTAGGAAGTCCAAGATTAAGGTGCTAACAATATTGGTGTCTGGTGAAGACTTCTCTCTGCTTCCAGATGGCACCATGTTGCTGCTCCTCTGGAGGAGAGGAACATTTTGTCCTCACATAGAAGAAGCAATGGAAGGGCAGAAGGGGGAAAAATGCTATGTCCTCAAATGGCAGAAGAGTAGAAGAGCCAAAAGGACCTAAGCTAGTTCACTCCAGTCCTTTAATTTTTTATATATATATATTTTATTTCAATAGCTTCCGGGGTACAAGTGATTTCTGGTTACATGGGTGCATTGTGTAATGGTGAAGTCTGAGATTTTACTGCACCCATCACCTGAGTAGTGTACATTTTACCCAATATGTAGTTGTTTGTCTGTCACTCCCCTCCCACCTTCTCCTCTTCTGAGTCTCCAGTGTCCATTATGCCACTCTATGCCTTTGAATACTTATAGCTTAGTTCCCACTTGTCAGTGAGAACATACAGTATTTGGTTTTCCCTTCCTGAGTTCCTTCACTTAGAATAATGGCCTCCAGCTGTGTGTTCAACTGTCAGTCTCTCCAATTTTGAGGGCAGCTGTTTGCCCTATGACTCCCACGTCTCTGATGAATCTGTGAAGGTTTGTGATATTTTAGTTTGTTTAGCTTTTTAGTTGTTAGGACAGAGGGCTGACTTCCAGCTTCTTACATAGCAAATGGAAAATCTGCCCCTTGGTTTTTACACATCATGATATATCTTGGAGATCTTCTATATCAAAACACTGAGGGTTTCTTAGTTTTTTTATATAATGGCATATTAATCCTTTGGTGGTATACGCTTGATATGATTTGGCTCTGTGTCCCCACTCAAATCTCACCTTGAATTGTAATAATCCCCATGTGTCATGGGAGGGACTCGGTGGGCAGTAATTGAATCATGGGGGCAGGTTTTTCCCATGCTGTTCTCATGATAGTGAGTCCATTAAACCTCTTTCCTTTATAAATTACCAAGTTTGGGGTATGTCTTTGTTAGCAGCATAAGAATGGACTAGTACAGTAAATTGGTACCAGTAGAATGGGATGCTGCTGTAGAGATACCCAAAAATGTGGAATTGGCTTTGGAACTGGGTAATAGGCAGGGGTTGGAACAGTTTGGAGGGCTCAGAAGATGATAGGAAAATGTGGGAAAGGTTGGAACTTCTTAGATACTTGGAGAGCTCAGAAGACAGAAAGATGTGAAAAAAGTTTGAAACTTCCTAGAGACTTGTTGAATGTTTTTGACCAAAATGCTGATAGTGATACGGACAATGAACTTCAGTTCGAGGCAGTCTCAGATGGAGATGATGAACGTGTTGGGAACTGGAGCAAAGGTGACTCTTGTTATGGCTTTAGCAAAGAGACTGGTGGCATTTTGCCCCTGCCCTAGAGATCTGTGGAACTTTGAAATTGAGAGAGATGATTTAGGGTATCTGGTGGAAGAAATTTCTAAGCAGCAAAGCATTCAAGAGGTGACTTGTGGACTTTTTCCAAAAGTTTGGAAAATTTGCAGCCTGATGATGTGATAGAAAAGAAAAACCCATTTTTCTGAGAAAAAAAATCAAGCCGGCTGCAGAAATTAGCATAAGTAATGAGGAACAAAGTGTTAATTTCCAAGACAAGAAAATGTCTTCAAAGCATGTCAGAGATCTTTGCAGCAGCCCCTCCCATTGCAGGCCCAGAGGCCTAGGAGGAAAAAATGGTTTAGCGGGCCAGGCCTGGGGTCCCTCTGGTTGGTGCAGCCTAAGGACTTGGTTCCCTGCATCCCATTTCAACTGTGGCTAAAAGGGGTCAAGGTATGGCTCAGACTGTGGCTTCAGAGGGTGCAAGTCCTCAGCCTTGGTAGCTTCCACATGGTGTTGATCCTGTGGGTGCACAGAAGTCAAGAATAGAAGTTTGGGAACCTCTGCCTAGATTTCAGAAGATGTATGGAAACTCCTGGATGTCCAGGCAGAAGTTTGCTGCAGGAGTGGGGTTCTCATTGAGAACCTCTGCTAGGGCAGTGCAGAAGGGAAATGTAAGGTTGGAACCCCCACATAGACTCCCAACTGAGGCACTGCCTAGTGGAGTTGTGAGAAGAGGACTACTATCGTACAGACCTAAGAATTGTAGATCCACTAACAGCTTGCATCATGCACCTGGAAAAGCCACAGATACTCAATGCCAACCCATGAAAGCAGCCAGGAGGGAGGTTGTACACTGAAAAGCCACAGGAATGGAGCTACCCAAGACCATGGGAACCCAACTCTTACATCAGTGTGACCTGGATATGAGACATGGAGTCAAAGGAGATCATTTTGGAGTTTAAGATTTGGGTGCCTCGCTGGATTTCAGACTTGCGTGGGGCCTGTAGTCCCTTCATTTTGACTAATTTCTCTCATTTGGAACAGGTGTATTTACCCAATGCTTGTACCCCCATTTTATCTAGGAAGTAACTAACTTGCTTTTGATTTTATAGTAGGTAAAGGTAGAAGGGACTTGCCTTGTCTCTGATGATACTTTGGACTGTGGACTTTTGAGTTAATGCTGAAATGAGTTAACACTTTGGGGGACTGTTGGGAAGGCATGATTGGTTTTGAAATGTGAGGGCATGAGATTTGGGAGGGACTAGGGGCAGAGAGATATGATTTGGCTCTGTGTTCCCACCCAAATATTACCTTGAATTGTGAGAATCCCCACGTGTTGTGGGAGGGACCCAGTGGGAGGTAATTGAATCATGGGGGCAGGTTTTTCCCATATTGTTCTCATGATAGTAAATAAGTCTCCTTGAAGGTATGCCCACTGTCACCACTATTATTCAGCATAGTACTGGAAGTCCTAGCTAGAGCAATCAGACAAAAGAAAGATATAAAGCACATTCAAATTGAAAAAGAAGAAGTCAGATTATCCTTATTTGCAGATGATATGATCTTATATTAGGAAAAACCTAAAGAATCCACCAAAAAATATATTAAAACTGATAAATTCAGTAAAGTTGCAGGATATGAAATCAATGTACAAGAATCAGTTGCATTTCTTTCTGTATGCCAGTAGTGAACAATGTGGAAAAAAAATAAAAAAGTAATCCCATTTACAATAGCCAACCAAGAAATTAAATACCTTGAAATTAACTTAACCAAGAAGTGAAAGATCTCTTTAATGAAAACTATCAAACACTGATGAAAGAAATCGAAGACTTCACCAAAAAATGAAAAGATATTTCATATTCATGGATTGGAAGAATCAATATTGCTAAAATGTTTAAAGTACCCAAAGCAATCCATAGATTCAATGCAATCCCTATCAAAATACCAACACAATTTTTCACAGAAATACAAAAAGAATTCCAAAATCCATATGGAACCACAAAAGACCCAGAATAGCCAAAGCTATCCTAAGCAAAAAGAATAAAATTGGAAGAATCACATTACCTGACTTCTCATTATACTACAGAAGTATTAGTATCCAAAATAGCCTGCTACTGGAATAAAAACAGACACATGGACCAATGGAACAGAATAGAGAACCCAGAAACAAACCGGTGTGTTTCTGTATACTTACTATTACTAGTGAGTTTCTTACCTTCAGGTGATTATTTATCATATCGTAAACATGCTTTCCTTTCATATTGAACACAGTCAAAGATATAAAATAATCTCCAGTAATTAGCCCCAAAGAAATGCAGATTTCTGAATTGCCTGACAAAAATTTAAAATAATAGTCTTAAGAAAGCTCAGTGAGTTACAGAACACAGATAGATAACTAAGTTAATTCAGAAAAGTGAAATATGAACAAAATCAGAATATCAACAAATAGAAATTATAAAAAAGGCCTAAAACAAATTATATCTAAAGAATATGATAAAGGAACAGAAAAATGTACTAGTGGGCTTCAACAGTAGACTTTATCAAGCAAAAGAGAGTCAATAAACTTGACAACCAGTCATTTTAAAGTATCTAGTTATAATAGCACAAGGAAAAAAAGAATGAAAAAGAGTGAAGGGAGTCTATGGGATTTATGGAACACCATCAAGTGAACCAACATTTGTTATGGGAGTCCCAAAAGAAAGAGAAAAAAACGCAGAAAAAAAGTTAACAAAATAATGGCCCAAAACTTTCCAAATCTGGTCAGAAAAATGGACATTCAGATTAAGGAAGCCTAAAGGACAAATATAGAATACTATAATATGGTAATGGTGGTGAGTAAATCACTTTTAATTCTAGCTTAAAAGTTAAAAGACGAAAGTACTAGGAATAACTATAACTACAAAAACTTGTCAATAAATATACAATATTAAAAAGTGTAAATTGTGACATCAATAATATAAGAGTGAATGTGTGAGAGGTAAAATTGTAAAGCTTTTGTAGGTGATCAAAGTCAAGTTGTTATCAGCTTAAAATATATTGTTATAACTATTAATATAACATGTTTTATGTAAGCATCATGGAAACCACAAATACCTATGGAAGACACACAAAAGAAAATGAGAAAGGAATCAAAGCATATTGCTACAAAAAAGATCAACAAATTACAAAGATATACAACAAAAGAGGAAAAGAGAGACAAAAGAAATACAAGAAAGACAGAAAAAATTTGAAAAAAATGGCAATAGTAAGTTTAACTCCATCAATAATTACTTTAAGGCCAGGAGCGGTGGCTCACACCTGTAATCCCAGCACTTTGGGAGGCCGAGGCGGGTGGATCACTTGAGGTCAGGAGTTCAAGACCAGCCTGGCCAACATGATGAAACTCCATCTCTACTAAAAATACAAAAAGTAGCCAGGTGTGGTGGCACGTGCCTGTAATCCCAGCTACTCAGGAGGCTGACAGGGGAGAGTGGCTTGAACCTAGAAGGTGGAGGTTACAGTGAGCTGAGTTCGTGCCACTGCACTCCAGCCTGGGTGACAGAGTGAGGCTTTGTCTCAAAAAAAAAAAAAAGAAAAAAATTACTTTAAATGTAAGTGGATTAAACTATCATTCAAAAAATATAAAGTAGCTGAGTGGATAAATAAAAATAACATCAAACTATATGCTGTCTACAAGAGACTCACTTTAGATTTAAGAACACACTGTAAGTGTGTTCTTAAATATTCCATGCAAATGGTGACCAAAAGAGAGCAGAGGTAGCAAGATTCATATCAGACAAAATTGACTTGAAGGCAAAACTGTCACAAAAGACAAATAAAGTCATTACACAATAGTAATGGTCAATTCACCAGAAATATATAATAATTATAAATGTATATGCACCTCAAATATCAGAGCACCCAAATATATGAAGCAACACTGACATATCTGAAGGGAGAAATAGACCACATTAAAATACTAGTAAAATACTTCAATACACCACTTTCAATAATGAGTAGAACAGAAACTTAGTAGGGAAACAATGGACTTGAACAATGTAGCAAAACTATGGAGTGCAGCAAAAGAGAGCCATTCATAGTGATAAATGCATATGTTAAAAAAGGAGAAAGATCTTAAACAATCTAGCTTTATTCCTCAATGAACTAGAAAAAGAAGAACAAAGTAAGGGAGGAAATAATAAATATTAGAATTTGAAATTGAAACTATAAATACAATGGAAAAAATCAATAAAACCAAGCGTTGGTTTTTTTTTAAAAGATCAACAAAATTTAAAAACCATTAGCTAGACTATCTGAAATAAAAATAGTGAAGATTCAAATAAATAAAATCAGAAATTAGAGAGGAGATATTACAACTGATGCCAGAGAAATAAAAGATTATCAAAGAATACTATGAACAATTATGCACCAACAAATTGGATGACCAGAAGAATTCCTAAAAATATACTATCTACCAAGAGTAAATTACGAATAGAAAAAGTGAATTGACCAATAATTAATAAGGAGACTGTTTCAGTAATAAACGCTCAACAAAGAACAGCTCAGGACCAGTTGGATTCACTGGTGACTTCTATCAAACATTTAAAAAATAATTAACACCAATTCTTCTTAAACTTTTCCAAAAAGTCAAGAAAAGGAAATGCTTCCATACTCATTTTATGAAGCCAATATTACTTTGATACCAAAGCCAGGCAAAGATATTACAGGAAAAGAAAGCTACAAGTCAAGATCCCTCATGACATAGATGTAAAAATCCTCAGTAAAGTGTAAGAAAACCAAATTCAACGGTACATTAAAAGGATCATACACCATGTCCAAGTGGGATTTATCCCTGGGATGTAAGGATAGTTCAACGTATGCTAATCAATTAATATGACATACCACATCAACAGAATGAAGCATAAAAAAACTGCAAGATAATCTCGGTAGATGTAGAAAAAGCGTTTGAAAAAAAAAACAGTGCCCTTTCATAATAAAAACTCTGAACAAACTAGGTGTAGAAGGAATTTACCTGAACACAACTAAAATTATATATGACAAACTCACCACTAACATCACACTCAAAAGGGAAAAACCAAAAGCTTTTCTTCTAAGATCACGATCAAGGCAAGGATGGCCACTCTTGCCACTTCTATTTAATATACTCTTGGAAATCCTAGGGAGAGCAATTAGGCAAGAAAAAGAAACAAAAGAGAGCCAATTTGGTAAGGAAGGAGTAATGTTTTCTCTATTTTCAGATGGCATGATGTTAAATGTAGATATCAAGACTTTGAGAAAAAATACTGTTAGAAGGCATAACAGATTTCCATTTACAAAACTATTGAAAAGAATAAAATATTTAGGAATGAATTTAACCAAGGAGGTAAAAAACTTGTACACTGAAAAGTGTATAATTTTGATAAAAAATTTTAAATAGACACAAATAAATTAAAAAATATCTCTGGTTCATGGATTGGAAGGCTTAATATTGTTAAAAATGTCCTTAATACCCAAAGCAATCTACAGATTCATTAACATTCCTATCAGAATCCCAATGGCATTTTTTACAGAATTGCAAAAACAATCCTAAAATTCAGATGATACCACAAAAGGCCATGAATAGACAAAGCAATCTTGAGCAAGAAGAACAAAGCTGAAGGTATCACACTTCCCAATTTCAATATTACAAAGCTATACAAATTAAAATGTATAGTATTAGCATAAAAACAAATATATAGACCAATGGTCTATATATACTATAGAGCTCAGAAATAAACTCATTCATAAACAGCCAGTTGATTTTCAACAAAGATGCCAAGAATAGATAATGTAGAAAGGAGTCTTTTCAACAAATGGTACAGGGAAAACTGGATATCCACATACAGAAGAATGAAGTTAGCCTTATCTTACATCACACACAAAAGTAAACCCAAAATACATTGAAGATTTAAGTGTAAGACCTTAAACTGTAAAACTGGAAGAAGACATAGGGTAAAAGCTTCATGACATAGGTTTAAGCAATGATTTCTTGCATATAACACCAAATCAGAAACAACAAAAGCAAAAATAGGCAAGTGTGATTATATCAAACTAAAAACTACACGGAAAAGGAAGCAATCAACAAAATGAAAATGCAATCTACAGAATGGAAAAAATATTTACAAAACATGTATCTTGAAAGGGGTTAATATCCAAAATATATAAGGGACTTTTATAACTCAATATAAAATAAACTAATAACCTAGTTAAAAATGAGCAAAAGACTCAAATACATATTTCTCCAAAGATTACATACAAATGACCAATAGGTATATGAAAAGATGCCCAACCTCACTAATCATCATGGAAATGCAAATCAGAACTACGATATTATCTCACACCTGTCAGGATGACTGTTTTATATAAAAAGAGCTAACAAGGGTTGGTGAGAATGTGGAGAAATGGAAACCTTTGAATACTGTTGATGGGAATGTAAAATGGTGCAGCTGCTATGGAAAATAGTATGGAGGTTCCTCAAAAAATTAAAAATAGAACCACCATATGATCCAAAAATCTCATTTCTGGGTATATGTCCAAAGTAATTAAAATCTGGATCTTGAAGAGATAGCATACTCATGTTCTTTGCAAGACTATTCACAATAGCCACAATACAGAAACAACCTAAATGTCTACTGATGGATGAATGGATAAAGAAAATGTGCTAACTACATGTAATACAATGGAATACTATTCAGCCTTAAAAAATAAGGAAATCCTGCAATATGCAACAACATGGATGACTCTGGAGGACGTTGGGCTAAATAAAATAAGTTGGTCACAGAAGGACAAATACTGCATGACTTTACTTATATGAGGTATCTAAAATAGACTCATAGAAACAGAGAGTTGAATGGTGGTTGGCAGGGGTCAGGGTAAGGGAAAATTGAGAGTTGCTGTTCAATAGGTATACTGTTTCAATTATACAAGAGGAACAAGTTCTAGAGATCTGTACAACATTGGGCATATAGTTAACAATACTGTAGTGTGCACTTACAATTTAAGAAGGTAGATCTCATGTAAAGTGTTCTTACATGAGTTGGACTGTAGATGATTCCCTACGTTCCTTCCAGCAGTAGCCAGTGGCCTCTCCCCACAGGTGCCTGGGGCCTAATGAAGCCCACCCCTACATTCCTGCACCTTCTGAGGGTTTTTGTCCACGTGGTGGAGGTCATGGAGTGGGCCAGCCTGCACCAGGGCCAAGGTGGGAAATGTACCATGCTGGCAATTCAATAAGTGAATGGGTTACGGTCCCAAGGCAGGGGTACCTGGGCCAAGTGGGGCTCGCAGATGTCAAAGGAGGAGACCAGTTCAGGCAGTGCCAGGCAGTCCTGACAGAGGGCAGACATGAACAATTAGCCAGGGACTTGGACAATCATCAGGAAGTGCCTTTATATTAGTGAATGCTTACTGTATGCAAGGCCCTTCATGTCTCTGGATCCCAGTTTGTTTTAACACTATAAAAGAAAAAATACATACATACATAAATGGATATATAAAGATGCATATATTTTCAGTTTTTAGGGAATGAAAGGCTAGTTAAGGCATAAAATATCTGAAGATAAGAGAATAAAACTAGTGACATATGAGGGGCAACTCAAGAAGAGTTTATTTTTAAATAGATTATTTGCAAGGGATAGTGCAGGAACCAGGAGCTAATAATAGCAACTCAATAGTTTACCACTCATAAGCACAAAGAACTGAGGCAGAGAGTAGTTACTGGAACTAGAAGAAACCAGAATATAGAAAGATTTATGTTGAATTGTTTTGAAAAGAGCAATTTTTTTTTGGTGAAGGAGTCTGCCAAGTCAAGACAGCCTACCAGAAGGAAGACAAGGGAATAAATACCATAACCTCCCTCTCCTCTTTTCCTCTGATTTCATGGGAGCTTACCATTGGCTGAATCCAACCAGGGCCCAGAAGGTGTGAAAGTCCTGTTGATGCAGTTGATTCAGGTTAGCCTCCCAAGGCACAGAGCAGGGTGCAGAGTATGGCAAGTAGAATGGAAGATACCCAGTATATGTATTATGTACAGCTACAGCTTTCTTTTCAAGAGATTTCCTTTTGATCTAGTGGAGAAAAGTATTCCTAAAAGACAGACATGAGAAGAGAGACATAGGTTATTTATCTGAATGGAAATGTGTATATGTGTGTGATTATCTATCTATCTATATCTATCTATCTATCTATCTATCTATCTATCTATCTATCTATCTATCTATCTATGGCATTACCATCTAGTCTGAAACTACTTAATGATTTCTTCATTTTAGAAGTTTTCAGGTTTGTGGAGAGAGAACAGTAATGTACTATCACACAACCTAATAAATAAAATATGAAAAACAGATTGATTCCCTTAGATATTCTCCGCATTCATATATCCTTCCTCCTGTGCAGAGGTAGCCAGCATTTGGAATTGGGTGGTTATCATTCTCATTCATGTCTTTAGGATGTTACTACATATCTTTCCCTACTAAGAAAATGTATAGAATTATTTTGCATATCTTAAAACTTTATATAAATGGTATCACACTGCACGTAGTATTTTGCAACTTGATTTTTTTTCACTCAACATTTTTACTTTTTTGAGGATCTGCTAAGGTTGATACATTTAGCTCTTTCTTTTCCATTCACTTTTATTCTGTAGTATTCTATGATTTAATGATGCGAATCTACTTACTGTTTATTTAACATTAGAATCCTGTGATTTTCAGAGGGAAACAACAGACACTGGGGCCTACTTGAGGGTGGAGGGTGAAAGGCAGAGGATCAGAAAAAATACCTATTGGATTCTATGCTTAGTACCTGGGTGATGAAATAATCTGTACACCAAACCCCCATGACATGTGTTCACCTATATAATAAGCCTGCACATGTACCCCTGAACAAAAAATAACAATTAAAGGAGAAAAAAAGAATCCCATGATTTTAAAAATTGGGATTTTTATTGCATCCATTCTTTCTTTATATTAGTTCATTTCCTTATCAAGTTATATTCTTCAGTAGTGGAGATTAGAGAATCTCAGTTATTTTCTTTTTAAAAATTACTTCGGAATAGAAGAAGCCCTAGGTAAATTTTAACTTCCACTATCCTTATCTTCACTTCGTACCGCAAATGGGTTAACCTAGTGCTTGGAAGGGAACCTGGTGCAGTGTAAGTGCTAAAGAAGTGTCATCACATAGGCACGAAGACACTAGGGTTAGGAGTACAGACTGTGCAGCCTGACAATCTGGGTTTGAATTTCAACTCTGCTACTCACCAACTGTGTGACTTTGAGGAAATTACTCAGCCTTTTTGTACCTCAATTCCCTCCTTTATAAAATTGGGTTTAATAACAATCCGTATATCATAGATATTGAATATATATATATATATATATATGATATCTCATAGAGTTGTTTTGAGGATTAAATTAATAAGTGAATACAGTAGATGCAAAGAACATAGAACGTACCCAGCAAGTAGTAAGTGGTTGCTATTATTTCAGGTCCAGTGGGCTTGTTGCTCCAGACCTCATGCCTTCTGGACCCAGACATCTCTGCAATCTCGGAACTGGAATACACCACTTCTTGTCAAGGTACTAGCAAGTTGGTAAGTAACTCCTGTCAGTGGTATTTCTTTGAAACACTCATGCTGAATACCCCTGAAATATTGAATGTCCTTCTCCCACCACACCCCGCACTGAGGGTAAGCACACCTTGCTGGCATGGCTTCAGGGGCACTATACTTCTATTTCCAATTGTGGCTAGAATATCTGCATCTCTCCACCATCTCTTGTAAGGACAAAACAAATTTTCAAATACATGTTGTTTTTCTTTTTCCATGAGTCTACACTTTCATTGAAAAGGCTGCTAGGAGCTGAATTAGTGACATGACTTGAATTTTTTTAAAGTTTCGTTTTTTTCCTTTCAGCTTGAGGCTTCTTACTCATACAATCTATATTTCCTCTAACTGGAGGTGGGGGTGGGAATCTGTCCTTTGAGCATTGTTTGGTTGGAAAGCTAGTCGTTCTCACCTCATTGAGCTTTCACCAGCGAAAAGGCCAGGAGGGTCTCCTTTGTAATTGGAGCAGTTGCCTCTCCAGTTTATGCTCTCTGCTCTTGTGTCTGCTGTTCCAAGAGCCCCTCCACCTCCCTCCCCCACTTTTTTTTTTTTTGCAGTGAGCACCATTGATCTGCTGCCATCCTCACTGTCTGGATCTCTAGACCCCTAATAGCCCTCTGGACCTCTGCTCCCCTCCACCCAGGCTCAAACTCAGGCTCGAACCCAGGCTTGGACCCAGTGGTCAGACTCAGTCCCTGGAAGGCTGGCTTCCTTTTATGCTCACTCTGCCCACTTGGCCAGGCTTTGCCTCCTCTCGGGCAGTTTTTCTTTCAATATTCCACTGTTTCTTCCTCCAATCTGGTCTCTTTTAGGGAATCCTAGTCCCACAGAATCAGCACACATGCAAACCTAAGTTGCTGGACAGGTTTAAATTATTTTCCACAGTGCTCCTGAGCCTCAGATAGATCAGGGTCTCAGGACATTCCATGTCAGGGAACAGTTTGGACCACTCAGAACACACAGGAAACTTCTAGGGGGTGGCATGGCCTGACTCTTGAAGTCATCCTAAAGGATGCCTAACTTGAAGCCAGCCTAGAATACGCTACCCTACCCAAGTTAATAGCAGTTGCTTGAGTTTCTATGTGGGAGTGGCAGTCACTTTGAAAGCAGAAAGCCCAGAAACTGTAAAACTTAAAAACTGACAATTATTTGCATATTCAGATATAAATGTTTCCTGTGAAACCACCATGAACGAAATATATCAGTGATGAAAATTTTAAGAATCACTGTTACATAAAAATGCTGTTCTGTCTCTAAGTCTTGAAAATAATGTTGCAGTCCTTATGATTTATAAATATCTAAAAAGACCAACTGAACACTGTTCCTTTCATAATGTCGCATATTAACAAAGTGCAGTTATCTTTCAGTATCCGGGGGGGATTGCTTTCAGTTCCCTCCTCAGATACCAAAACCTGAGGATGCTCAAGTTCCTGATGTAAAATGGCCTAGCATTTGCATACAACCTATGCACATTCTCTTGTATAATCCAAATCATCTCTAGATTATTTATAATATCTAATACAATGCAAATGCTGTGTAAGTAGTTATTACAATTTACTGTTCAGAAAATAACAACAAGAAGAAAGTCTGTACCTGTTCAGGACAAGTGCAACTTTTTGGAATATTTGCGATCTATGGTTGGTTGATACATGGATGCAGAACCCGTAGATACAAAGGACTAATTGTATTCTTTTGTGCCACAAGCATTATTGAGACTAGTAGTGATTATTGCCAGGCATGTTCTGTGAACTAGGATTTAATGATGGACGTGACAAGGAAGCTCCTTGCTGTTATGGAGTTCAAGTTCTGGTAGTTTTAGGATTTGAGTAGATTACATTTTAGGGGATTTGGACACCTAATCATTTCACATCTATAAAAGGGGAATCTTCCTAGTGTGAAAGAATATATTATCAAGGACAACTGTCTATTTGAGGACAAAGGGCAAAAAGAATGTTCAGAATCAAATGGGAAAGTCAGGTGTGGGTATAGCTAAAATATAATATAGAAAATACTATGATAATATATGATAGCATGTAAGCAAAATACAGCTTAGAATAATGGGCATTAATCAGATTTCATGAGAAGCATTAACAACAAGCTAATAAATAGTTCAGAAAAAGACACAACACAGGCTAGATCAAACTAGAGACTTTCAGGGCTGAGAATCAAGGAGACTCTAGGAGGTAATTGCAGAAGAGTTCAGGACCTCTGAAATGTAGGAGAGAAATCTCGGATACCAGATATGATACGGTATGGCCTTCCTCCCTGTAGATCAGAGATAAAGCAGGCTGTCTCAGGGTCAATATATCTGGAGAGAGGCATTTCTAAAATAATAAAATAGCCAGGAGCCCTGGCTTATAGCTTGAGAAGCTTTGCTTTTTTGTTGGGCTTTGCTTCATTACAAAACAGAAAGAACAAGTGATTAAAGTAATTCAAATTCCGACTGAAAGTAATCATTAATAATGACAGAAATATCTTGTAATTCAAGGTTTTTTAGATAAACATTATTCAATAATTGGTAGGATTTAGAAGGATAATATAGGGTTCCTTTTCCAATTGCCAATCAAGAAAAGTATTTAGTCAAGTTGAATGAGATTATAATAGGGCAGCTAAACTCTATTCAGCTCAAGAATAAGCTCAATTTAGTTGCAAAATTACCATATCTTTTGTATATAAAGATGAAACTATTGAACCACGATAAGGAGGAAATATCTTTTGAGAGTTCCCCTAATTGCCCTGTCAAAAGTGAGATAATTAGGTTAATGCCCTGCTCTCACTCAATAGCTAACAGTGCTAGCTACCAAATATAAAACAGTGTGCAAGATATTGGCACATAGAATCATAAGATATGGTGTATGGTCTTGATCATCATAGAACTTAAAATCTTAAAGAAGGACATAAGTAAGAAAAGCAGTACTAGTTGTAATAGAGTCAAGGTTCACACTATGGCCTTGGATTGGAGATCAGCTGCAGTATCTATACACAAACCTAGAACCTTAATAGAAGAAGTGTGTGTAAGTAACTGAGGCCAGACATTTTTCCAAACTGGAAACAGGACAATTTACTGAAAATTAGTTTCCAAAAGGTCAATTTGCCAACAATTGATGAGTTATAGACAGAAGATTGTTTTTCAAAACGTTTTAATTTCACTATAGTCTTTTTGCCTTAGCCATTTTCCTAAGCTGTTATTGGTTTAACTTAAAGCTGGATGCAAATTTTATGCAAGTTTTAAAATTTGGATGACTAGTATTCCTCAAATCTTTATGCTTTATTTGTGAATGGGTGGTATGTTTCTTAAATACAGTTTATAGCCTTTTATATATTGGTGAGGTTGTCTTCACACCTGAATCTGCCCTCAAATGGTTGCAACAAAGGTTCTTACGGCCTTAGGATATTGATCTGACATTTTCCTCCAAATGGTCTATGGGTGGGTTTGCCATGTAGTGAAATGGCTTTGAATAAATTTATTTTCAGTATATTAAAACCCAGAATAGTTCAAATTAACTTAGATCACTCTAAACTATGTCTTCACTTTCTATCCCTTTAATTGAAATCTTTATATCTCTGAGTTATGAAACTAGAAACCACCTAACTTATTTTTTTACTTACATTTAACAACTTTTTCATTATCTTTCCTCCAGTATTGATGATAAATAGTAGTAAAAGCAATTCTTAATATTTTCTTAAAGCTTACCTTTTAATCTCTTCAAGGGAAAGCATCTTAGATCTAGCGTAGTCTAAACAAATACTGAATTGGTATCAGGAACTTAGATGCCAGTCCCGAATCTCTTAAGTAAATTTTTTAACTCCTTATTACTCAAATGTTTACTTCTATAAAATAGAGATAAGACATCAGCCTCTACCTTCCTTGTAAATAACATAGTAAAGTAATTTGAGGTGATAAAGTAACTACTATGATCATTTATGAAGAAAAGAGTAGATTAACTAAGCTTCATTAATAATGGTCACAAATTTAGTATGTTCTAATTTGATGTTAACCTAGCACCTCTGCTTAAGAAATGGTGCAATGTACTAGGGAAAATTAAAAAACATGGCTAAGACTTTGTTCTGACCATCAAGGAGCAGTCATTTTTGTCAGATGAATAAAATAAATAAATGCAAAGACAGAGCAGAGAACAATAAATGCTGAAAGAATAGAAATGAAATACACTGTTGATTCTAAGAAGACAAAGTAATGTGGGAGACATGACTAGAAGACTGAGAAGGTTTGAGCAGACAGAAAATGGAAAGGACATTGCGGAAAGAACTGCTTGAGCCAGGACGTGGAATTGAGAAACCATAGCTCCCATTCATAAACAGTGTGTTTAGGGGGAAATGGGAAATGATAGTGGAGATACTTTTGAGGTCATATTGTGCAGGATTTCTGCTGTATTTCATAGGTAATCAAACACTGGAGATGTAATAACAGAGATGTGAGAGAGAAAAATACAAGAATATAGATAATCTGACAGTAGTATTTGGCATGGAGTGTGAGACTGAGGGTACAGCCTGGAATGAAAGAAATTTCAAGTATTGGAAAACAGATACCTGAGGAGCAGACAGAACCTGAAGTCACTTGCCTGGTCCTAGTCAGAAGTCAAATGACTAGTCTCAGACCAGCAGTGGGCAGGGCAAAGTACAGGTACACACATACTAGCAACACTGTTACAGTAGACATACTGCAGTGTGTTCCATATTTTAAATGTAAGTGCTAAAGCACTTCAAAACAGACGGATGGCCCATGGTGGCCTTAGTCAGGAAAGGCTTCATTCACATTAGCTAAAACAATCCAGGAGAGGGGGATTTAATGCTTAAAACAGAGAACAAAGAAAAGAATAATGTCAAAGAGAACTATATTTAAGGTTGATCTGTTAGTGGGACATGAAGGCTTATTTTCCTTCAGGTCCATCCTCATACTTTCTGAGATCTAAGTATGAGATCAACATACCATACAAGGTCCCTTATAATCTGGCTCTGGCCATCTTCTTAGCTTCACCTCTCACCATTTCTCAAGATTCTTCTCTATAGCTTTGTGGAAACATGCACATTACCCAACCATTCCATCACAACCTCAGTACCTCCTTCTTTGCTTTGCCTTCTGCCTGGAGCACTTTGTCCCTCGTGTCTTTTGCCTCATTAAAGTTCTACTGGTCCTCCTGTTTCCACTCTTTCCTTCTTCCACCCTCATTTTACACTTACTTAGCAGGTTCTTCTTTTTAATTCCATGCTTCTTGCAGATTTTGTATTCTGTGTGTCTATTTTCTTGTTTTTCTTTTCTTTTTTCCCTCTAGACTATGAACTGCTGGGAGATAAGACCATCTGATTTATCCGTGTACATACAGCAGCTAGCACAGTGAGTAACACTGAATAGGTTGGATGAATGAATAAACAACCAATTCAATAGAATACCTCAAGTATTTATTTGGTAATAGTTGCCTTCTCATGATTTGTATAAGTAGTAAGCAAGATGCAAAAGAAACAACCCTTTACTTGATGAGTCAAAACAATTATCTGCACATACACATATCTAGCAATATTATTTCAGCAGATGTACAGTAATATGTTTCATATTTTAAGTGTAAATGCTAAAGGACTTCATAACAGGGATGGCCCATGGTGGCATTAGTCTGGAAAAACTTCCCATCACCTAAAGCAATCCAGGGCAGGGGGAGTTAATGCTTAAAAAAGAGAACAAAGAATAAGGTCAAGGAGAACTATTTAAGATTTATCTGCTAGTGGGACATGAGGGCTTATTTTCCTTTAGGTGCCTCCTCATATTTTCTGAGATCTAAGTCAAGAAAGGAAAGGTCAAAATGGGAAAGGGAAAGTCTATTTGAAGCCATGAATCAGACATCACAGAATTTTTTTAAGCAATGTTTTATTACCAGAAAAAGAGTCAAAAATAAATCAGCATGGGATGCCTGGAGAATATGCTATGAGAATTTTGATTATCAAATAACTAAGTATTACTCCAAGAGGCATAGTTGTAGTCATTCTTTGCCAGGGATGAAAGAGAATGATGTAAGCTTTAAGAGTAAAGTAATGTGATATATTTTGGAAGAAATAACTGGAAAAAATAGCAAGAACTTCTGGCTTGATGTTCTAGAAATACAACTAAGCAGTCCAAGATTCTATTAAAATAAAAAAGTGCATATTATAGAAATGAAAAGACAATGTTGCATGGGTAGAGAGACACTGTGATGTTTTAAGCTGCTTGAATAAAACAGAATATGGCAATGGAAATATGAAAAAGAGGGACACAAAATAGAGTTAGAAAAACCATATGTGAAAAATTCTTCTCTGGGAGCAAATAGAAGTTAATACTGATAAATGAAATCACTGTGAACCTGCCCTGATAAGTGAACTTGTGAATATTGAGGAATTTGTTAACTTGTGCTCACATGATCAGAATATTATGAAAATTGCTTTACTGCAGGAACAAAAATCTTAACCTTAAGAGAGAACATATTTATTTAGGCTTTTAACATATTTAAATAGAAAACATTAAATAAAGAGAAGATAAAAAATTAGAGTTAAACAAATTTTATCCTGCCTGTATTTTACAGAAGCAGATAAATTGTCTCTTAAAGGGAAACAAGAAGTATTTTTATTAATTAAAGAGAGTACAATCATTCAGAAGGATTGGAAAACATACGGTATGAAAAAACATTTTCAAGTATGTATATGATATCAATCTGATTCTTACTTTGTAACCACAAACCTTCTAGAAGGTACTATGTGTTTCAACATGCTTTTAAATTTTTATTTTATTTTTAGCTACTAGGATAACTAAAAGGATATTTCTATGATGCAATTCTGATGGCAACATAATTTTGGGACATGTATTTTAAGAATTATATACAGCAAGGGTAAAAATCCATGAAAATAAGATAAAATATGAAAAGAAGAGAGAGAGAGGCCAGGAGCAGTGGCTCTTGCCTGTAATCCCAGCACTTTGGGAGGCTGAGGTGGGTGGAAGACCTGAGGCCAGGAGTTCAAGACCAGCCTGGCCAACATGGTGAAACCCCATCTCTACTAAAAACACAAAAAATAGCTGGGTGTGGTGTCATGCACCTGTAGTCCCAGCTACTCGGGAGGCTGAGGCAGGAGAATTGCTTGAACCTGGGAGATGGAGGTTGTGTTGAGCTGAGATGATGCCACTGCACTCCAGCCTGGGCAACAGAGTGAGACTGTGTCTCAAAAACAAACAAACAAACAAACAAAAGGCAGGGGAGAAATAACAAGGAAAATGGACACCATAACTGTGTTCAGAAAAGCACAATGAAAGCAAGAGTGTAGCCCTGGGAAAAGCACTCTGGCTGGGCCTGAATTGCCAGAGCAAAGGCTTTAGAAAACCTGGAAGGTGGCGCTGGAATGATGGGTCAATTCTTATCTGCTATCCTGATGTGTAGACAACAGCAGGTAGTAGAAAGTTTAAACACCTTTATATTTATATTTTTTTCTATTTTTAACAATAGAAAACCACTTTCTAGGGGTAACTTAGCATAACATAATGAATTATAATAGATAAATTTTGTATTCTTTTCTCTTGTTTTTGATATATTTTTATGTCCCATGGGAACAGTGACTTTCATATAATACAAAAGTAAAATATGTTTGTTTGATATGTTTAAATTCACATATTACTTGTATCTGTAATAACAGCTAAAGCATTACTGTGTGCTTGCTCTGTGCCAGGCACCGTGGTAAATGCTTTCTATATATGAACTGATCTAATCCTCATAGCAGCTCTATGAGGATGATTCTATAACATTCATCACTTTACAAATGTGTAACAGGCAGAGAAAGAAGTAACTTACCTTAAGGTAAGTGAGTAAGTGATGGAGCCAAGATTTAGGCCCAGGCAGTTTCATTTAGAGATTTAGAGGTTATGATTTAGAGCTTCTGTTGAAGCTATATCATTTCTGCTTTTTTGAAATATCAATCTTTGATGTACCAAATGACCTGAGAAATTCTTTCCCAATAACAAAAATATGTTGGTGTATTAGGTACACATGAACAAAGGATTTACTTTTTTCATGAACCTTTTGTGTCTATTTATGTTGAAATAGCAGTAGGTCAATAGAGGACAAGCAAAAACTACTCTGGGTAGGTCTAACTTGATAGGTTAATTGGAACCCCCCCCCCCCAGAAAAAAAATCCAAACACAAGCAGCTCTGTGGCACTCATTGGCCTAAAATAATACATGTTGTATAATTATGTTAATATCAAAGTCTGGAACAGAAAACTCTGATGGTAAAAGAAATCAGAACAGCGGTTTCTTCTAAAGGATTATTATTATGGTTTTTATTGGGTTTATTCATCGCTATTCAACTTCCTACACATTTCACTATGTTTTTTGGAAGATGTTTCATATGGCTGGCAATAAATAGACAGAAGATAAGTAGACCTTTACTGGGACTAAAATAACTTTGTTAAGCCCCAACCTGAACCACTACAACTCTATCTCTATCTGTAGGAAATCATGGAATAAACACCATGATTTACTGTTTAGATCTTAGATCTTAACTCCTTAAGCCTCCTGGGGAAGTGGAAAAGGTTCTTCCTCAAGATTCTTGGGAAGCACTTTATCCTATATTTATGGCATAGCTTTTCTTAACATGAAAATTTAATTCACATTAAAAAGTCTTTGGCAGAAACATTTTCTCTTCACTAAATGATTGTATGGTACAATTCTCATTATCCTTTTAGTTTAAGAAGGACAGCCTTATGGATATGGCAAGGATAATGTTTGCTTAAGTACAGAACTCGATGTTCTTGCCCTGCCTTTCAAGGATATATACTCTTTGAAGGAATTCTATGACTGATCAAGTAGAAGACAGTTCTATCTAAATCATCTGCAAATCAATGGAGAGTGCTTATATAAAGAAGAGACAATAGTTTGAGTTTCCATTTTGAGCAGACGGAACAACTGGGTGTCTAGGTTAGCACCTTAAGTTCCTGTGAGGTTAGGGAGGTAATAAAGAACAAATATACTCAACAGTCACTGAACCTAAGAGAAACCAGAAAGAAGAGAGAGAGTCCAGGTGGAAAGGGTGGGAATGAGGAAGGTATTGCCAGTGAGAATCAAAATTGCCCACGTCTTTTTTCTGTTTTCAGGTCAGTCCTTAGAGGGTGAAGTAGGTTCTCTTTTGTCTTGTTCTTCTCATTTTTCTTATCCTAAGGATTTAATGAATTTGAATTCAATTCATTTTATAGGAATGAATTATTTTACAAAAAAAATAATGTCACGTTTCCATGCCTCAGTTATCTCACAGGCATATAAATTATTTAAAAATATTTAACAACTGGTGTTGCACAGACACTGACCAATCAGAAGAAAACACTATGACTTATGACCAATCAGAATCAGCATGAGCCACAAATAGAATGGTTATATAATTAATTGTCCAAATCAGGACATGTTTGAAAGTGAAAAGGGATACTATTAATCATTATGCCAGAAGTAAAGGCATAAACTAAGACCATCTCAAGGAAGGAGTATATAGTGTGTTCTGGTTGAATAAAATAAAAAATTTGGCTTGAGGTCTTTTTTAGATTCTGTGACATCCTAATGTGTCTATTGAACATGTTTAATTTAAAGAGTATTTGGCATATTTATCTATAACTGGCTTCTGGAGCACATTTCTGAGACAGTAGAACCCTACTGGAGTAGCCTTTAGATGTAACTATATTAAGAGTCACAACAGGGTCTAGGTTCTATTATTCTCTAGACAAATACAAAGGTATAGACGTAGATATAGCTATAGATATAAACATAGATTGGTTAGAGATACTAAAAAGATATCATTGAGTGGATTATACTAGATAATATATCTCAAGTGTTTTCTATATGCCAGCCTTTTTCGGTGTTACAGATGAGGAAACTGAGGTGTAGGATGTGAAGTGATGTGACTGTTAGGTGCATACTATATACAACTGGTATGTGATGAAGGTGGAGCATCTACATTTTAATGCTATGTGTTAGCATCCCCCAACACCTAATGCCTACCTTATTGCTAACACTCTGCTGCCCTGCTCACAGTCTTGTATGTGAGTAGAAGACAGACAAATAAATCTAATAATGATAATTACATGTAAGATTTGCTGTGACACATGTTGAGCAGAGATCACTAAATCATATGGGTAGGAGAAAGCTTCCTGGAGGAGGATGGCTCAAAGTCAATCTTTAAGGATGGTCAGAAAATAGCCAGATGCAGAGGAATCTGTGCTAAGGCACTTAGTATGAACCCTGTATGAGATATTTGGGAAATTATAAGTATTTTAGGGTAGTTGGAGATGGAGTGATGATCTTTGAGCTCAGCTAATTTAGATAACAGCATCCATACACCTTAAGGAGTCATTTCAAAAGACTTCAAGCATGGTCATGAGGTGATTATTTTTGCATTTTAGAATGATTTTTCTGGCAGTGATGTGGAGGATAGATTCGTGAGGGGCCAAGTTCATGGTAGAGAAGTCAGTTAGGAATTAGAGCAATTTAGTGGAGAATATACTACTTTGTAAATCTACCCCACTCCCCTTCCCAACTTACACAACACTAAGAGTCCTAAGTAAAGAGCAGAAGAACAAGAATGGCTCTTCAAGGAATAGGTTCCTAAGTAGAGGAGATAGTTTAGAAGCTGCAAAGTCAAGGAGATAGAAAGAGAGGGAAGGAGAGCGGGAGAGATAAAGAAAGGGGGAAATGGGGAGATACATAGGAAGAGAGAGTGACAGAGAATCCCTTTTCTTGTTTATTGCTGAATTGAATGTTAGTCCCCTCAAAATCTCATGATGAAATCTATTGGCTATTTTAACAGTATTAAGAGGTGGGACCTTTAAGAAGTGATTAGTCCATGAGGGCTCTGCCCTGATTGACAGATTTGATGCCTTAAAACAAAAGAATTTCAGGAGTGGCTTCTTTTTCTTTGATCTTCCATTTTTCTGCCATGTGAGAAACAGTGTTCCTTCCCTCCAGAGGCTGTAGAGTTCAAGGCACCAACTTAGAAACAGAGACTGGGCCCTTAGAACTACCAAATCTGCTGGTGCCATGATCTTGGACTTCCCAGCTTCCAGAACTGTATGAAATAAATTTCTGTTCTTTATAAATTACCCATCTCTGGTATTCCATTATAGCAGCATGAAATGAACTAAGGCACTTACTGCCCATTATTACATTATTTTTTCTTTTATTTCTTTCTCTTGCTTAACTCTCTGCCCCTAAAAGTACAGCTGTGTGCCACATAACAATGTTTTGGTCAAAGATGGACTGCATGTACAGTGATGGTACCATAAAATCATAATGCAGCTGAGAAAGTCCTATTGTCTAGAGACATTGTGGCCATTGCAACATCATAGTGCAACACATCACCCATGTGTTTGTGATGATGCTGGTGTAAACAAATCTACTGCACTGCCAGTCATATAAAAGTACAGCAGATGCAATTATGTGTACTTCATAGTACTTCATAATGATAATAAATGGCTATGTTATTGGTTTATGTATCTACTATACTCTTTATCATTATTTTAGAGGGTACTCCTTATACTTATAAAAAAGGTCGTTTCCCTCCCTGTGTCCATGTCTCATTGCTCAGCTCCCACTTATAAGTGAGAACATAAGGTGTTTGGTTTTCTGTTCCTGTGTTAGTTTGCTAAGGATAATGACTTCCAGCTCCATTCATGTCCCTGCAAAGACATAATCTCATTCCTTTTTATGGCTGTATAGTATTCCATGGTGTATATGTACCATACTTTCTTTATCCCGTCTATCAATGGTGGGCATTTGGGTTGATTCCATGTCTTTGCTATTATGAATAGTGCTGCAGTGAACATATGTATACATGTAGCTTTATAACAGTATGATTTATATTCCTTTGGGTATATACCCAGTAATGGGATTGCTAGGTCAATGGCCTGTTGAAGAGCAGGGAGGAGGGAGAGTATGAGGATAAATAGCTAATGCATGTGGGGCTTAATACCTAGGTGACGGTTTGATAGGTGCAGCAAACCACCATGGCACACATTTACCTGTGTAACAAACCTGCACCTCCTGCACATGCATCCTGTAACTTAAAATAAAATAAAATAAAATTTTAAAAAAAGAATTGAGGGAAGGAAAGTCAAAAGAGTGTGTTTAAGACAGTAAGTAGCAGATGAAAAGTAAAGGATATTTTTTTCTTTTTGTATCTAATTGGATTAAGACAGCTCCATAACCTGCTTATATAAACTTAAATGATGAAAACATGAACCAGGGTGGTAGCGGTGGAAATGAATAAGAGTAACACGTACGAGAAGATGCTTCAAAAGAAAATGTACTAAAATTGATGTTCAATAAACTCAAGGGATTAAAAATAAATAAAATAAAAAACTGTAAAACAGCATCAGTCATGTCCGGAGGTATTCCAGAAGGCATTTTTATCATAGAAGACAGCAGCTCCATGCATGTTATTGCCACTGCAGACCTTCCAGTGAGATAAGATGTGGAGGGAGAAGATAGTTCAGGCCTAGGCTAATGTATGCATTTGCATCTTAGTTTTTAACACGAAAGTTTAAAAAGCAAAAAAGTAAAAATAGAACAACTTATAAAATATGGATGTAAAGAAACTATTTTTGTACAGCTATACAATGTGTGTGTTTTAAGCTAAGTGTTACTACTAAAGAGCCAAAAAGTTTTTAAAAATTAAAAAGCTTTTAAAGTAAAGACGTTATAGCAAGACTAGGTTAATTTATTATTGAAGAAATACAACTAAAAAAATAGATTTAGCATAGCCTCAGTGTACAGTGTTTATAAAGTCTATAGTAGTGTGCAGTAGTGTCCTAGGCCTTCACATTCACTCCACTCACTCACTGACTCACCCAGAGCAACTTTCAATCCTGCAGGCTCCATTCATGGTAGGTGTCCTATACAGGTGTGCCATTTAAAAAAATCATTAATACTGTATTTTTACCTTTTTCTATGTTCAGATACACAAATACTTATGTGTTATGGTAACTTAACCGTATTCGCTATAATAACATGCTGTACAGGCTTGTATCCTAGGAGAAATAGGCTATGACATATAGCTTAGGTGTGTGGTAAGTTATGCCATCTAGGTTTGTGGAAGTGACTCTACCATGTTCACATGATGAGGAGCTCACTTAACAATACATTTCTCAGGATGTATTCCTATGGTTAAGTGACACACACAGTGCTCTCAATGTTTTTTTCTATTGCTTCCTTCACATACTAATTTTTCACATAATTGGTAAATTGAACTACCTCAGTTTAACTGCATTCTTAAAAAAAGAAGAATGCTGCAGTAAGCAAAATAAGATCGAACCAGAAAATTAAACCAGAAGATCAAATCTATTTTCACTGAGTTGATAACTACTTTTCATCCTCGTTTACTCCTGAGCTTTGGCATCCAGCTTGTTATTGAGGAAGGTGGTGGGTGAAAATGAGGCAAGGAAAGTAAAGATCCCCTTCATTTGGGTGGGTCTGTACTTCATTTGGTTTAATTATTCATTTAAATCAAGACCGTGATTCAACATTGTTTGTGTGAAATGATCCACAGGGATGGGCTGAAACCACATTTGCCCTTGGCTGTGTTTGGTGAATAATTTTTTTTTCTTGCCATAATGCTAGGTAAACTTTCTTCTCTAACTCCTGTTGCTTAAGGTTTTATCTTTCTATTGTATTTCTATCTTTGCTCCCTGTTTAATGCAAGCAAAATTACCACCTGCACATTAGCCAAGCAAGGCTGTTCTCTTTAGCAGAGGAAAGAAAAGGGTCAAATTTTAAGAAGACAAAAGACTTTACCATAAATGTAGTGGAAATGGAATGCTTTTTACTTAGGTTAAAGATAAAGTTGCCTGCAGAAAAACAAATATTGAGTTTTCTCACTTACATGTGGAAGCATAAAGGCATAGAGTAGAAGATGATAGATAACAGAGACTAGGAGGTGAAGCTGGTGGTTGGAGATAAAGAGAATTTGATTAATGGGTACAAACATGCAGTTAGACAAAAGAAATAAGTTAAAATAAGTTAGATACAAGAAATAAGTTAAAATACTCTGCTATGTTTGATAGCAGAGTAGGATGACTATAGTTAACAAAAATGTATGGTATATTTCAAAATGGCTAGAAGAGAGAATCTGAAGCATCCCCAACACATACAAATGGTAACTACTCAAGGTAATGGATACCCCAAGTACCCGGATTTACTTGATCATTACACGTTCTATGTACATAATAAAATATCACATATGCCCCATAAATATGTACAAATATTATGCATCAATAAAAAGAAGATAAAGGTGCCTGGAAAAAGATCAGCATTTGCAAAAGTTTAGTATATTTTAATGCATCTTTTTTGTTCCTTTGGTTGAGGGGATGGTGCTCAAAAACAACGCTTAACTGTGTCATCAGAAAGACAAACAGAAGCAGATTTTTAGAGCTACAGGACTTCAGAAAAATATTTTCTACTCTGACCTTTTTACTTTACAGATAAACAACTGGAGGAAAGAAAATGTAAATGAATTAATATGGTTCTAAAACAAATATCCTCTCAAGTGTATTAGTAAGTGTGAAACTTTTTATCAATACCACATCTCATATGTTGGGTGTTAAGGGTGGTATATTAGAAGGCAGCTTTCAGTTAAACTTACAAAGGATTGTTTTTGTCTTCAATGCAATTATTAAATGATTTGTCAATTTTTTTCTAAAGGGACATACTTATATACGTATTTGGTAAATTTGTAATAAAATAGAATTGATAAATGATTTACACCAACCTGTATAGGAATACACTGACAGTATTCATTACTGGAGGACTAGAGAGAATGTTAAAGGAAAATTAAAAGATTAAACAAGGAACTGTGATGGAAACAAACAGAAGAGAGAAAGAGAATGAAGAATAAAGAAAGAAGAGAAAAAAGATAAGACTTCAGAAAGTGATCAGGAAATAGCAGCTTTACATGTTCATTTGTATCTGTGTTTTCCTAATGGTGAAGTTAGAATTGTTCCATGTGATCTAATTCATTCTATTAATAAAATATAATGATTTAAGACATTAGAAATAGAGAGTGGAAGCATTTTATATTTTTTTCAGCCAAACCAAACCCACCTCTTAACTCATTTTGAGGCTGGCCCCCTATAGGCATTAATTTTGCCCACTGCTAGTGTCACAGAAATCACCAAAACCTCTGGTTTAAAGAGAGAAAGAGGAGGGGGAGACAGAGAGAGAGAGAGAGAGAGAGAGAGAGAGAGAGATAAAATATTTTAAATTAAAGCAAATTCAAATTTGAAAACTATCTTTTTGAATTATTATATGAGTATACACTAATATTTTCAGCCTTTCCTCTTGCTATATGTTTAGGATAACATTCACTAGACCAGAACAAAATCTACTTAAGTGTTGGAAAGATTGATCAAAACAAAAGTTTTTTTAAAAAAATTAGAAAATAAGCCCAGCTCTTTATCTAATGTTTAGACTCAAAATATTTCACCATAATGTAGAAATAAGATATGAGGTATTTTCCCATGCTGGGCTCAAAAACTTTAGCATAAAATTATTCTGCAAGAAGCTTCTAAAGAATAGAAATGTTGATAAAACAGCACATGCAAGTACCATATATTAATAACTAATCCATGAACAATTTATTTCAACTCAGGCATTTAGAAAGTAAATGTTATCCATTTTATATAGTTAAAATTTTCAGCCAAAAATATTTTAACCATATAACTTTACAACATACAGAAAAAATACATATAAAAGTGAAAAATGTGTTTTGCAATGAATCTGCCACTGATATGATATGAGTATGCAATTAAATGGTCCATGCTGGAGAAAGGAAAGATTGGCTCCTGGGTCGTAGCCAGTGATATCCTTTGACGCTTCCCGGCCTCATGTGTTACTGATCAGGCAGCTGGGTCTCTGGCAAATACAAGTCAGGAGGGTAGAAAATAGAACAGAGCTCACTCTCAGTTATGGGATTCGGAGGGAATTGGACATGGAACACACACTTGATCTGTTGTCAACTATTTCATTTCAAAGCTGAACACTAAATTATAGCATAGAATTAGATTACTTTTAAATAATTTTTATTTGCTTATTCTGAACTTCATACTGATATTTTATGATTGTCTAACGTAAGAAATATTGAACTGAAAGACAAAACAACTAACCAGGTGTGGCTAGCTATGTGACTGGGGGCTAGTCACTTGACCACTCTAGGTCTCTGTTTCTTTGTCTAGAAAATAAAACGATTGGCCCAGAAGATTACACATTGCATTGAGTGACCCTTGAGTAAATCTGGCCTGTAGATGTGTTTCTGTCCTTTACAATATTATAAGATGTTTTAACTAATTGGTTACTAGGAGATTTCTTTTTTTAAAAAAAAAATATATATATATATATTTTTATTATTATTATACTTTAAGTTTTAGGGTACATGTGCACCATGTGCAGGTTAGTTACATATGTATACATGTGCCATGCTGGTGTGCTGCACCCATTAACTCGTCATTTAGCATTAGGTATATCTCCTAATGCTATCCCTCCCCCCTCCCCCCACCCCACAACAGGCCCCGGTGTTTGATGTTCCCCTTCCTGTGTCCAAGTGTTCTCATTGTTCAATTCCCACCTATGAGTGAGAACATGCGGTGTTTGGTTTTCTGTCCTTGTGATAGTTTACTGAGAATGATGATTTCCAATTTCATCCATGTCCCTACAAAGGACATGAACTCATCCTTTTTTATGGCTGCATAGTATTCCATGGTGTATATGTGCCACATTTTCTTAATCCAGTCTATCACTGTTGGACATTTAGGTTGGTTCCAAGTCTTTGCTGTTGTGAATAGTGCCACAGTAAACACACGTGTGCATGTGTCTTTATAGCAGCATGATTTATAGTCCTTTGGGTATATACCCAGTAATGGGATGGCTGGGTCAAATGGTATTTCTAGTTCTAGATCCCTGAGGAATCGCCACACTGACTTCCACAATGGTTGAACTAGTTTACAGTCCCACCAACAGTGTAAAAGTGTCCCTATTTCTCCACATCCTCTCCAGCACCTGTTGTTTCCTGACTTTTTAATGATTGCCATTCTAACTGGTGTGAGATGGTAGCTCATTGTGGTTTTGATTTGCATTTCTCTGATGGCCAGTGATGATGAGCATTTTTTCATGTGTTTTTTGGCTGCATAAATGTCTTCTTTTGAGAAGTGTCTGTTCATGTCCTTTGCCCACATTTTGATGGGGTTGTTTGTTTTTTTCTTGTAAATTTGTTTGAGTTCATTGTAGATTCTGGATATTAGCCCTTTGTCAGATGAGTAGGTTGCGAAAATTTTCTCCCATTTTGTAGGTTTCCTGTTCACTCTGATGGTAGTTTCTTTTGCTGTGCAGAAGCTCTTTAGTTTAATTAGATCCCATTTGTCAATTTTGTCTTTTGTTGCCATTGCTTTTGGTGTTTTAGACATGAAGTCCTTGCCCATGCCTATGTCCTGAATGGTAATGCCTAGGTTTTCTTCTAGGATTTTTATGGTTTTAGGTCTAACGTTTAAGTCTTTAATCCATCTTGAATTGATTTTTGTATAAGGTGTAAGGAAGGGATCCAGTTTCAGCTTTCTACATATGGCTAGCCAGTTTTCCCAGCACCATTTATTAAATAGGGAATCCTTTCCCCATTGCTTGTTTTTGTCAGGTTTGTCAAAGATCAGATAGTTGTAGATATGTGGCGTTATTTCTGAGGGCTGTGTTCTGTCCCATTGATCTATATCTCTGTTTTGGTACCAGTACCATGCTGTTTTGGTTACTGTAGCCTTGTAGTATAGTTTGAAGTCAGGTAGCATGATGCCTCCAGCTTTGTTCTTTTGGCTTAGGATTGACTTGGCAATGCAGGCTCTTTTTTGGTTCCATATGAACTTTAAAGTAGTTTTTTCCAATTCTGTGAAGAGTCATTGGTAGCTTGATGGGGATGGCATTGAATCTATAAATTACCTTGGGCAGTGTGGCCATTTTCACGATATTGATTCTTCCTACCCATGAGCATGGAATGTTCTTCCATTTGTTTGTATCCTCTTTTATTTCATTGAGCAGTGGTTTGTAGTTCTCCTTGAAGAGGTCCTTCATGTCCCTTGTAAGTTGGATTCCTAGGTATTTTATTCTCTTTGAAGCAATTGTGAATGGGAGTTCACTCATGATTTGGCTCTCTGTTTGTCTGTTATTGGTGTATGATAACGCTTGTGATTTTTGGACATTGATTTTGTATCCTGAGACTTTGCTGAAGTTGCTTATCAGCTTAAGGAGATTTTGGGCTGAGACAATGGGGTTTTCTAGATGTACAATCATGTCATCTAAACAGGGACAATTTGACTTCCTCTTTTCCTAATTGAATACCCTTTATTTCCTTCTCCTGCCTAATTGCCCTGGCCAGAACTTCCAACACTATGCTGAATAGGAATGGTGAGAGAGGGCATCCCTGTCTTGTGCCAGTTTTCAAAGGGAATGCTTCCAGTTTTTGCCCATTCAGTATGATATTGGCTGTGGGTTTGTCATAGGTAGCTCTTATTATTTTGAAATACGTCCCATCAATACCTAATTTATTGAGAGTTTTTAGCATGAAGGTTGTTGAATTTTGTCAAAGGCCTTTTCTGCATCTATTGAGATAATCATGTGGTTTTTGTCTTTGTTTCTGTTTATATGCTGGATTACATTTATTGATTTGCATATATTGAACCAGCCTTGCATCCCAGGGATGAAGCCCACTTGATCATGGTGGATAAGCTTTTCGATGTGCTGCTGGATTCGGTTTGCCAGTATTTTATTGAGGACTTTTGCATCAATGTTCATCAAGGATATTGGTCTAAAATTCTCTTTTTTGGTTGTGTCTCTGCCCGGCTTTGGTATCAAGATGATGCTGGTTACTAGGAGATTTCACTAAAATACAGATTTCTGGCTTCTCTTGAAAAATTGAAATATCTGGTAACTCAGGACTCAGAATTCTGCAAAGCAGCAATTAGTGGTACAGAGTGCAGCGGACCCCTTTAGACCTACCTGGGAATGTTCTCTTTAGATTGTCCTGCTGCCTGTCACAGGTCCCACCCAACTTGCTGCATTTATTCACTTTACCTGCCCGACCCTTTAAGACATTTTAGTTTCCTATCCTGGTCTTGAGTAGTTGTTTCTAAATGTGTTTTATAGAGTGCTAGTCATTAGAGAAACCTCATGGGGAATGAAGAAACCATGGATAGGGTTTTTTTTTTTTATTTGTTTTATGTAGTGAGATCTAAAATGACCGATAGGGCACAGACTTTTACTTATCCTCTGAAATATTGTATGCCTTTCTTTCTTAGCCATGTAACTGTTTAGAATAAACAATACATCTCTCAGCCTCCTTTGCATCCTTTGCATCATATCCCTTCGGCTGTGGGATATGAGCTGAAGTGATATGTGCAATATTTAGAGTGTGCCTGATATAGGAATGAAGTGATGAGCAATCCTGGATTTTGTGGACTAGTGATGCAGAGCGATATGATAGGATCCTGGGTCCCTGGATGACCCAATGGAGCACAGCATCCTTGTTAGCAAAGTTGGCCTTCTTCTGCAGTATTGCACAAGAGAAAACTTATTTTCTGTCTTGCTTAAAGCAATGTCAATTTGGTTCCTTATTACACACATCTAAAACTGTCTGAATTAAGACAGGCTCTTAGGTTCTTTCAAACGTCAAGATTCTCTGACTGTTTTACCCTTGTTTGATTTCGAATTCTAATACATTTGAGTAGTTTTGACTGGAAAATGAAAATAATTATTTTAAACTCTTTGAATTACTTCCTTGAATGCTTTTTTACTGAGTGAAACTTAAATAAATTTATTTTCAGTCCCGCACATGGCTATATTTTTATGAAATCATTATGCAAAAATGCCAATGACCTAATGCATGTTGAACATGGAGTGTATATTTTGTTTCCTTTTAAATCATCAAGTATCTCAGACACCCATTACAATTCTGTTTTATTCAAGGAGTAAATTTGCCCCAAAGGAGTGAAGCCAAATGTGCAAAAGAAATGATGTGAGTTTATTCTGCGTAACTATGTAGATGGCCTGAGTAGAAAAAGATAAAATTACTAAGCCACCCAAGAGAGGTCTTTGAGGTAGGCTGTTTCAGGCTCAACTTAAAATCTGGCGATGATGGTCTCTAAAACTTGGACTGCTATAAATGTTGTTATAAATAAACAGGGGATTTCACTTTTCTAAGTCTGAGAAAACAGCAACTTTCTATGGCAATGAATTTTCTTTTGTTTTTTTAGAAATATAATGTACCTGAGTGAATATGACTAATGAAGCTCATCATTTTGAATACATGTAGCTGGCTAACAAAATTCATGGATTGTTCAAGATAATTTTTAAAAATCCAAGACAAATTAACTTTGTACCTTATTCCAGGGGTACCTTGAGAATGTTTTTAGTAAGTTTAATATCCACACCCTTCCGTCCATCTCCCAAATTTTGCTACATAATATTCACAGGATCCCGAAAAATTTTCAAATCCAGAAGTCTGGAACTAAGAGCAGCCACTAGAGGAGATGATAAGGTTAGAGTTGGCTCTGAGGAGACTTATGTTGGACAGACATGTGCTCACTCTTTGGAAAATAAAGTTCTTTCTTCATGTTTTATGCAGGATGTATTTAAAAGTATATAAGCATCGTTCAACTGTCAACCATTTCTTGAGCAGAAACAAGTTATTTTAGACCAATAGATCATCATGAAGAAAGTTGTAATAATTTTGCATTAATAACTTAATTCAGCTTTCAAAGGTCATCAATTTGCTTGCTTCAACATTTGACTTAATAAAGTACAAGGAACCATTCTCATGACAGTTGGCCAGAGAAAATATTCATTTTTAAGGTGTAAATTATTCAAAAACACACCATTCCATGTATAGAATTAAATAGAGGAAATTGTTTTCCATGTGAGTCAGAATATTTGAAGCTAGGAGTTCTTTTAAAGGCATCAATTAACCTCTTTGTAGCTACTGGCCAGAAGAACATTAGGTTTCTATACCTTGGTTGAAGCCCAGAATTGAGCATATATTCTCAAGACTTATTTAGGAAAACCTTAATATTTTTCTTTAATTTTCTGGGGCAGAAAATGAAATAATTAATGAAAATTTAAGTGTCTCACAGGGAAGTTTATGACTAGACAGCTGGGTCTTTTAACCTCGTTCTGAAATAAATGCATTTAACTGTGTAGTCTCCTCTCTTGTAATGTATAACAGTGATCTAGATCACCATTTGGTTCTGGGTGTTTGCATGGTATCTATGCTAACACCCTGAAATTTCTCTTATATTTGTATTTATATGAATATAAAAGAGAAGGAGCTTTCTTATACTGAAACAGCAGTGATTTGGGTTCTGGTATCATTTACTTATTGTTAACTTTGGTAATTCCTTTAGCTTATCTATGCCTCAGTTTCACCATCAAAACAATGGAAATACAACTTTTCTAGTTATCACCTGGGATGTTGTCATGAGATGTTTATCTCGCATACTGTTCTACATTGCTGAGAAGTGACAGATGCCTCTTAAAGTTTTAAGAAAACAAATTCCACCAAAAACAGTGACTACTTTGAGAAAACATTGAAATAATTTCTCTATTGTAAAATAAGATGCTCAGTTCTGAATGTAGTTAAATATTAATGCCTGTGGCAGCCATGGAAAAGAGCCTCTTACGGCAAACTGTTTCAGAAGGCATAATTAACTGACGGTCCCACCTGCTGCACTCCGAATCCAACACTATATTTGTAGAGAGGCCAGACTTACAAGGGGCTACTGCAAGTCTGTGACTGAACATGGTAGAAATACTAAGGCAAGGCCATTCTTGGGAGGCAAAGGATTCCTCCGGTGGGAGACTTTGGCTCAAGGACTCCTCAGCAACTTTGCTGAACTTCCTTAGGATTGCATTGCAGTCTAAGAGGTTTCCTACTTAAGCTTTCATCCTTCTCTCCTTCCTTCACTGGAGTTAGACCTGCATGGTCTAACAGCTCTCCAAGCTTCTTCTGGTTACTTCTTCATTTATTTTCTCTTGCTGGTGTTTCCCCCATTAAATCCCTTGCATGATGAATTCCATCTTGATGTCTGCTTTTACACAATTGGTTCCTTTGAAATTGCATTTTGAGATTTTTCTACAGTTTTGTAATTTGGTAGCTAAGTTTCCTATCAATCTGTAGTATGCATTTACTTGGGGATAAGCAATAACCTGTTTTATACTATATTAACAACACACACATTTCCAACTATTAAATTCTTTCTTTATGAATTATAGAAATGGTTTGTAAGAAACACACTTGATGTTTTTATGATCCTGGCTATTCCAAAAGAATTTGAGTTAGTATCCTCTTAAGAATAATAAGGATAACATGCAAACAAAGGAAACACACATACATGGCATGGTTTTGAGTCATTGTGACTATTCCTTTTTCTAATTCCTCCCAAAACACCTATCAAAATAGCAAAAGTAAAGGCAATGGAAAGTATTTTTATTTCTTTATAAGAGAGGTATAATGATTAGACCAGCTCACATAAAAAGCAAAGTGGAAATTTAAAGATAATTCAGGCACAAGTTCTGTTTTCATTGAATTAACTAAGTAGTTTTGACTGTTAGTTAAAAATGTTTTCGGCTCTTTTCCCTCTTCATAGTTTTTAAAAATGTTTTTCCCCAAAGACTTCAAAACTACCTATTTATAGCTTTTTATGTACTTAATGATACAGTCTTCAAAATTTTATATTTCTTATTTTTTCACATATGATAAGCATATTTTTCTATTGCTTCTTAATCATCCTCATAAAAATTATATGATATAACCAGAGGATACATCATATTTTACATAGTATATTCTATTGAATATTTTCTAAAAAATTGAAATTTACCAGTTGTGTTGATTAAACTATTAAGATTACATATTAACTAATATGTTTAAAAATATTTGGATCAATTTGCACTACCCACAGAAATTGTGACTTTTTTTATCCTTTCCCCACACCCTTGTTAAGCTGCTAGTATTGCCTTGTAGTAGAAAACAAAATTAAATCTGAAAATCATTTTACATGAAGAGGGTATTTGACTAAAGTGGGGCTAAATAGTTGTCCATATATTTTTTAGTGAGCCCTATTTCCACTTTTGTGAAATACTTTTCTTGTCCTTTGCTTATTTGTGTACTGGATGTTTTGCTTATTTGCTTGAGTTTTTAGCTAATAAAGAAATCACTCTTGGTCTATTGTATTGACATCAAAAACTCCTCCTCCCCAACTGGTTGTGCCCTCTTTTTTGTTTGTTTGCCTTACTCATTCATTCAGCTACAGTCTATAGAGCACTTATGTTTTGTTAAGCTCAGTGCTAGTAGCTGAGGATACAGTTTTCAACAAAGCCAGATATAATCCCTGTTCTCGTGTGGTTTCTGCAGTATGTCAGCAGAATCAGAACATTAAACAGTTATCAAAAAACATTATGATTCATGCTAGGTTAAGTAACTAGGTATAGCAAGCTGTTAGTGTTCTTTCAAAAATTTTTAATTTTTTGTGGTAAGAACATTTAACATAAGATCTACTCTTTTAATAAAGTTTTAAGTGTACAATATGTGATTTTTGACTATAGGTACAATGTTACACAGAAGAACTCTAGAGATTATTCATCTTGCTTAACTGAAACTGTATGCCCATTTATTAGTAAGACCCCACTTGCTCTTCTTCTACCTCCTGCTAATCACCATTGTACTTTTTGATTTTTATGAATTTGACTATTTTAAATACCACACATAAGTGAAATCGTGCAGTATTTGTCTTTCTGTGTCTGGCTTATTTTACTTGGAATAATGTCCTCAAGGTTTAGTCATGCAGTTGCATATTGCAGAATTTCCTTTATTTTAAGGCCGAACAGTATTCCATTATGTGTATATACCACAGTCTCTGTGTCCATTCATCTGTGGATGGGCATTAAAGTTGTTTCCACATTTTGGTTATTATGACTAGTACAGTAATGAACAAAGGAGTGCTCATACCTCTTCAGGATCCTGATTTCAGTTCTTTTGGATAAATGCCCAGAAGTGGGATTGCTGGACTATATGGTGGTTCCATTTTTAACTTTTTGAGGAATGTCCATACTGTCTTCCGTAGCAGCTGTACCATTTTGCATACCCATCAACAATGTGCAAGGGTTCCAATTTCTCCACGTTGTTACAAACACTTGATGTCTCTTATTTTGTTTTGTTTTGTTTTGGTAATAACCATCTTGACAGGTATGAGCTGATATCTCATTGTGGTTTTGATTTGCATTTCCCTGATATTGAGCATCTTTTCATATACCTGTTTGCCATTTGTGTGTCTCCTTTGGAGAAACATCTAAGTTCTTTGTTCATTCCATCTATTTATTTATTTATTTATTACTTATTTATATATTTTTTGAATCGGAGTTTCTCTCTGTTGCCCAGGCTGGAGTGCAGTGGCGTGACTCGGCTCACTGCAACCTCTGCCTCCTCAGTTCAAGCGATTCTCCTACCTCAGCCTCCCAAGTAGCTGGGATTACAGGCACGGGCCACCATGCCTGGCTAATTTTTGTATTTTTAGTAGAGATGGGGTTTTCCCATGTTGGTCAGGTTGGTCTCAAACTCCTGACCTCAGGTGATCTGCCCACCTCAGCTTCCCAAAGTGCTGGGATTACAAGTGTGAGCCACCATGCTCAGCCTGTTCATTTTTTAAAATCAGGTTATTAGGTTATTTACTCTTGAGTTGTAAAATTTCCTTATATTTTTTGGATATTAACCTCCTTATATATAAAGTTTTCAAATATTTATCCTGTGTCATATTACCTTTTCACTCTGTTGATTGTTACCTTTTCTGTGCAGAAGCTTTTTAGTTTGATGTAATTCTCCTTGTTTATGTTTTTTATTGACTGTTCTTTTATATCTATAAAATGATTCCCAATGTCAATGCCATGAAGCTTTTTCTCTATGTTTTCCTCTAAGAATTTTACAGTTTCAGGTCTTACATTTAAGTCTTCAGTCCATTTTGAATTTATTTTTGTGTATGGTATAAGATAAAGCTCCAATTAATTTCATTCTCTTGCATGTGGATGTCCAGTTTTTCCATCATCATTTATTAAAGAGATTATTATTTCCCCCATTGTGTATTTCTTGCATCCTATTGAAGATCAGTTGACCATCAATGCATGGAATGATTCCTGGGATCTCCATTCATTTCATTGGTTTATAAGTCTGTTTTTAAAAATACTGTTTTAATTACTGTATCTTTGTGGTACATTTTGAAATAAGGAAGTGTGGTACTTTTAGGTTTGTTTGTTCTTCTTTCTAAAGATTGAGTTGGCTATTCATGGTCTTTGGTGGTTTCATAAGAATTTTAGTGTCTTTTTTTTTCTATTTCTGTAAAAAATGCCACTGGAATTTTGATAAGGATTCTGTTGAATCTATAAATCATTATGGGTAGTATGGACATTTCAACAATATTAAATCTTTCAGTCTATTAACACAAGATGTCTTTCTATTTGTGTTAAGTTCCTTTTCTTCATCAAAGTTTTGAAGTTTTTGGTATATGAGTCTTTCACCCCTTGTTTAAGTTTATTCCTAGTATTTTATTATTTTAGGTGCCACTGTAAATGAGATTGTTTTCCCAATTTTCTTTTCAGATCATTTGTTGTAGGTGTATAATTACACAACTGTTTTTTGTATGTTGAATTTGTATCCTATAACTTTCCGGAATTCATTTATTAGTTTTAATAGTTTTTAATTATAGTCTTTAAGGTTTTCTATTTATAAGATGGCTATGGTCTGAATGTGTTCTCCCAAAATTCATATATTGAAATCTTAACTTCTGAGGTGATGGTATTAAGAGGTAGGGCCTTTGTGAGGGGATAAGATCATAAAGATGAAGCCTTTAAGAATGGGATTAGTGCTCTTTTAAAAGGCCTGAGGAAGCTTGTTTGCCCTTCCATCATGTAAGGACAGAGAAGCTGCCATACATGAGAAGGCAGGACTTCACTAGACACTGACTTTGCTGGCACGTTGATCTTACACTTTCCAGTCTTCAGGACTGTGAGAAACAAATTTCTGCTCCCTATAAACTACTCAGCTTCTGGTGTTTTGTTATAGCAGCTCAAAGAGACTAAGACAAAAATTATGCTATCTGCAAACGGGAAAAATTTTACTTCTCACATTCTGGTTTGGATGCCTTCTCTTTTTCTTGCCTAATAGCTCTGGTTATAATTTTCAGTACTATGGTGAATAGAAGTGATGAGAGTGGACATTCTTGCCTTGTTCCTGGTCTTAGATTAAGAAGATTGTTTTTTAACATCAAGTAAGATGTTTGCTGTGGGCTTTTCATATATGAACTTTATTATGTTTGGGTAATTTCCTTTTATTCCTAGCTTATTGAGAGTTTTTATTATGAAAGGAGTTTGAATAATTTTGTCAAATGCTTTTTCTGCATTTATTTTGACAATTGTGTGATTTAAAATTTTTTTTGTTACTATTGGGTGTCACATTAATTGATTTTCATATGTTGACCCAACCTTGAACCCCAAGGATAAACCCCACTTAGTTATGATGTATGATCATCTTAATGTGCTGTTGGATTCACTTTGCAAGTATTTTGTTGAGGATTTTTGTATCAATTTTAATTATGGATATTGGCTTTAAATTTTTTTGTGCTTGTGGTGTTTTTGTCTGGCTTTGGTATCAGGATAAGGTTGGCTTCATAAAGTAAGTTTGGAAGTCTTCTCTTTCAATTTTTTGAGTGTTTGGTAGAATTCAGCAGTGAAGTTGTCTGGTTATGGACTCTCTTTGTTGGGAGATTTTTGATTACTGATTCAGTCTTTGTGCTAATTACAGATCTGTTCATACTTTCTATTTCTTCATGATGTAAAGTTTGTAGGATTTATGTTTTTTTTTGTTGTTGTTGTTTTTGTTTTTTTTTGAGATGGAGTCTTGCTCTGTCACCCAGGCTGGAGGGCAGTGGTGTGATCACGACTCACCGCAACCTCCGCCTCCCGGGTTCAAGCGATTCTCCTGCCTCACCCTCCTGAGTGGTTGGGACTACCCGTGTGAGCCACCATGCCCAGCTAATTTTTGTATTTTTAGTAGAGACAGGGTTTTACCATGTTGGCCAGGATGGTCTCCAACACCTGAACTTGTGATCCGCTTGCCTCAGCCTCCCAAAGTGCTGGGATTACAGGTGTGAGCCACTGTGCCTTGCCAGGATTTATGTTTCTAAGAATTTATCCATTTCTTCCAGGTTTTCCAATTGGTTGGTGTATAATTGTTTGTAGCAGTCTCTTATGATCCTTTTTATTTCTATGGCATCAGTTGTAATGTACCTTCTTTCATCTGATTTTATTTATTTGAGTCTTCTTTCTGTTTTTCCTAGTCTAGCTAAGTGTTTGCCAATTTTATTTATTTGTTCAAAAAACCCAACTTTTAGTTTCATTTTTTAATTCACTATTTTCCTTATTTTTTGTTTAATCTTCATTATTTCCTTTCTTCTGCTAAATTTAGGCTTAGTTTGTGCTTTTTTTTCTAGTTCATTGAGGTATAAAATTGAGTTATTTGAGATCTTTCCTTTTTAAATTGTATATATTTATTTTTATGAACTTTCCTTACATTAATTTTTTTTGCCGTATAGGGTTTGGTGTGTTGTGTTTTCATTTTTGTTTATCTCGAGGTATATTCTATTTTTTGTCTTTGACCAAATGGTTGTTCAAGAGTGTGTTATTTAATTTCCAAATATTTGTAGTTTTTCTAGTGTTCCTTTTGCTATTGATGTTTCGTGTCATTCCATTGTGGTCGGAAAAGATGCTTGGTATGATTTCAGTCTTCTTAAATTTGTTAAGAATTGTTTTGGGACTTAACATGTGATCTATCCTGGAGAAAGATCCGTGTGCACTTAGAAAGAATGCTTGTTGGGTGGAATATTCTGTGTATATTTGTTCCACTTGGTCTATAGTGTTATTCAAGTCTTTTGATCTTCTGTCTGGATTATTTAACTATTAACAAAACTGGACTGTTGAAGTCTCCTACTATGATTGTGTTGCTTCTATTTCTCTTTTCAGTTTTGTCAATGTTTGCTTTTATATGTTTCAGTGCTCTGATGTTCAGTGCATATATATTTGTTATAGTTTCTTGGTGAATTGATCCTTTTATTATTATATAATGGCCTTCATTGTCTTGTAAGCATTTTTGAATTAAAGTCTATTTTGTCTGATAAGTATAGCCACTTCTGCTCTCCTTTGGTTACTATTTTTATGGAATATCTTTTTTCATTCCTTCGTTTTCAGCCTATGTGTGTTCTTAAAGCTAAAATGAATTTCTTATGGACTACATAGAGTAAGATTTTTTTTTATTCATTCAACCACATTGAACTGAGGAAATTAATTCATTTACATTTAAAATAACTATTGATTAAAAAAATACTATAACCATTTGCTAGGTCTTTTGTTAGTTTTGTAGTTCTTTTGTCTGATTTCTCCCTCTTGCCATTTTCATTTGTTGTTTGTTGATTTTTTGTAGTAATATGCTTTGATTCCTTTCTTTTTTGAAAGAAACTTTTGTAGATATTTTTTTCTGTGGTTACCATGAGGCTTACATAAATTGTCTCATAGTTATAGCAGTCTATTTTCAGCTGATAACAACTTAAGTTCAATTACTTACAAAAACTCCATACTTTAACTTCTCCCTTTCCAATTTATGTTATTGTTGTCACAATTTACCTCTATTCATATTGTATATCTTTAACATTTTTTATTTATAGTTATTATGATACAATATTAGATACATGCTTTGATCTTTGTCAACAGTTCTTGGCTCATGGCTTTTAAAACTCTTGCAATTTCCTGAGCATCTTTTGTTATAATATTTGGGTTTTTTCCTTGGCTTCTGATATAGCTCCAGAGTGATAAAGGTAAAAGAGGTGTTTTTGTTATTTATAACAAGCCCTTTCAACCACAACTGAGTTTATGTTAATTGGGTAGGTTTTAGCAAGCCCTTAGACGAGTGTTAGTTATCAGATAAACCAATGTGATTAGAGATTAGGAACTTTCATCTCTACTCCAACCTCTGAAAATGGAAGAGGGACTAGAGATTGACTTAATCACCAATGGCCAATGATTTAATCAATCATGACTACAAATTGAAGCCTCCATGATAACCCAAAAGGATAGGGTTCAGAGAGCTTCCAGGTTGGTGAACAAGAGCACACTATGTGCCAGCAAGGTGGCACGCTCCAAAACTCCATGGGAACAGAAACTCCTGTGCTTGAGATCCTTCTGGACTTCACCCTATGTATTTCTTCATCTGGATGTTCGTTTGTATTATTTAATATATCTTTTGTAATAAACTAGTAATCTAGTAAATAAACTATTTTCCTGAGTTTTGTGAGCTGTTTTAGCAAATGATCAAGCCTGAGGAGGGGGGTCCTGGGAACCTCTGATTTGTAGTCAAGTCAGATACAAGTATTCAGTTACCTGGAGAAACACCCTTGTGATTTGCATCTGAAGTGGGAAGGGAATGGGTAGTCTTGTGGGACTGAGCCCTTGGCCTGTGGGGTCTGTGCTAACTCCAGGCAGTTAGTGTCAGAATTACTTGGTGTGGGAAACCTACATCTGGTGTCAAAAGTGTCCTGTGTGAACAGTAAAGTAGAATAGAGAGAAAATAGGAATTTTCCTCTTCTGTTATTATTATTTTTGTCTTTTAACTCTATACTAGAATTAAAAGCGACTTACCCACCACCATTAGAGTAACATAGTGTTCTGTATTTGTGTATATATTTACCTTTACCAGTGAGTTTTATACTTTCATATGTTCTTGTGTTGTTGTTTACCATCCTTTTGTTTCAAATATAAGAACTCCTTTGAGCACTTCTTGTAAGGCAGATTTAGCAATAATGACCCTCCTTAGCTTTTGGTTGTCTGGGAACGGGTTTATTTCTCCTTTATTATTGAAAAACAGTTTTGCTGGGTATAGTATTCTTGGTTAACAGTTGCAGTGTTTTTCTTTTTTCTTCTCTCAGCCCTTGGAATATATAATCTCACTTTCTTATGGCTTTCAAGGTTTCTGATGAAAATCTGATATTCTTATGGAGGTTCCCTTGTACGTGACAAGTTGCTTTTCTTGTGCTACTTTCAAAATTCTCTCTTTGTTTTTTGACAATTTGATGATAACATGTCTTAATATGGATTTCTTTATGTTTGTCTTATTTTGTGTCTCTTTGGCCTCTTGGATATGGAAGTCCATTTTCTTCCCCAGATTTTGGAATTTGTCAGTCATTATTTCTTTGAGTTAGCTCTCTTTTTCTTTCTTGCTCTCTCTCTACTTCTTGGACCACATAATGTATATATTAAACTGCTTGATAGTGTCCCATAAGTTCCTTACATTTTATTCACTCTTTTTTATTCCTTTTTCTTTTTGCTCCTCTGACCAAATTATTTTCAATAATCTGTCTTCAGATTTACTGATCCTTTTATCTGTTTGATGTAGTCTGCTGTTGAATCCGTCTAGTGCATATTTTCAGTTCAATTTTTGTCCTTTTTAGCTCCATAACTTCTGTTTGGTATTTTTTGTATTTTCTATCTCTTTGTTAAAATTCTTACTTTTTCCATGCATTGTTTTCTTGACCTCAGTGAGCATTTTTTATGACAGCATTTTTATGTTGAATTCTCTGTGAGTTAATAACTCCAGTTCATTAAAGCTGGTTTCTAGAAATTTATCTTTTGCTTTGTTTGGAACATCTTTGCCTGGTTCTTCTTCTTCCTTCTCCTCCTCCTCCTCTTCCTCCTCCTCCTCCTTTTCCTCCTTCTTCTTCTGTTTTTGGATTATCTGTGTTGTTGTCTGTGCATTAGGCAAAACAAGCACCTCTCTGAGTCTTCATGATCTGGCCTCATAAAGGAGAAGATGCCCACCAGTCATCTTGGCCAGAGATTCTGGGGGCTTATACAAACTTTTTACCTCCCCAGAAGGAAGTAGACAGGTGAGGATTTTGTCCACTAGTGTACTCCTGAGCTAGGGGAAAAGGGCTATGGCATTTACAGTCTAAACCACCATCTCTGTTCTCCCCTGGGTAGCTAGACTGACCAGACTTATCGGAGCTCCAAGACTTGCAAGTTAGATGACAGTTCTTTGAGTAGCCTTGGATAAATTGGAAAGTTAGAACCATGGATCAACTCTCCCCAGAGGGAAGCTGAGAGGTGGGGAATTTTTGTCTACTTGTCCTGTGCTGAGCAGGGAGGAGAGTCTATAGTGTTTACCAGCCTAAGCTGCCATTTCTATTTCCCCTGGGTGGCTGGACAGTGCCAGACCAATCAGAGCTTCAAGGCTGGCAAGACAGAAGCTAGTCATCTGCAGAAACCCTCCAGAAAAGTTGGAGTGCTGGATATGTAAACCAACTACTCCTTCCCTAGGATGAAACTAAGATCTAGGAGTCTCTTTCTGATCACAGAGCTTTGTACCAGGGCAAGGCAGGGTCTCTGATAAGAAAATGTCCCCAATCTCTCTACTGGCTTTAGGGAGTCTGGTTTCACATTTTCCTAGGGTGCAGGAACCTTTCAATTAGTTCTGGATTTCTCATAAAGATAATTTGTACTTGAATTGTTACTGAATCAATGTGTTTGTGGAGAAAGAGTGAGCTAGGGCTTTCTGTTGTGCCATCTGGTTGGTGTCACCCCACCATTAGTATTTTTGTTTTGTTTTGTTTTGTTTTGTTTTACAGGCCATCTAACCTAATTTAGAGAAATCAAGGAAATACAGTTGGAAGAAGAGGTGGAAATGAGAGAATTGGGCCAAGAGATGAGGCTGGAGTGCATGGAAGGAGGCAGAGTTACAGAGCCTTATGCCATGTTAAGAAATTTGGCTTTTATAAGGATTATGTGACAATCCTTTAATAGTTGTTTAGCAGAAAAGAAAAATGATGGGACTTATTTTAGAAAGACTATTCTAGCTAATATGTGGAGAATGTCTGAAAGGTAGAAAGCCTGGAGACAGAGCAAACTGGAGGAGTAATCCAGGTAAGAGTCAATGATGACCTGAATAGACATTGTGTTAGTGAATACATTCCAGAAATATTTAGCAGATAGAAACTATGGTACCTGAAGATGAAATGTGGGCAGCACAAAGGGAGATGGCAGATTCCCAAGTTTTTGACTTGGGTAACTGAAGTAGAAGTACTGTTTTCTGAAACAGGAAAAAGAAGAAAGAGCAACTAGACAGGAAGATGTCTGAAAGCCGTCTTCCTATATTTAAAAGCCAGTTTGCTTGTAATAACATTTTTGGCAATTTGTTATTGCGTAAGACTCGCTAATCCTTTGTCATTTTTATTTTAAGTAAATAATATTGAAATTCTTTTGGCCTTAGCTGAATGGAGATTTGTGATTTTCCCTAGGAGGGAATTTCCAGTCATTTTTAATAACAAAAAGTAATTTGTTCATTGGGATTCCCCAGACGGATGAGCAAATGTTGGATCAAATTACAAAATTCTAACAACCCTGAAGTGAGGTTTAAGATTTAGTTGATAATAAAGACAAAGATTTTTAAAATAAAAAGCTATTACTAATTACCTCCAAAGAACTCACATAAATAAATGACCTGGAGATGATTTTAAATGTTGGCAGTTCGAATCAACCTTACTATCTTTCACACATAGTGACTCCCAATAATAGTAGATGAGTTTATGGTTAGCTCTGATATATTCTTAAAATTAGGTGAAAGAGAATATATGGATACATGAGATATTAGCCTCTTTCCTGAAGAGAGGGAAATAAGTACATAAAGCAAAAATCCTGGGTAATCCTTAAAAGTATGGTTAACAAAATGAAATATAAATGACCTTGGCAAAAGGTCATGGAACACAGCACTTTCATTATAGTTACACACTAGTGTCGTCTGAACTCACCTACATGTACTAAAGTCTTTGCTAAACAGTAGTTGGAAACATTTCTTGTACTTTATAACTTTCTTTTTTTTTTTTTTTTTTTTTGAGACGGAGTCTCGCTCTGTAGCCCAGGCCGGACTGCGGACTGCAGTGGCGCAATCTCGGCTCACTGCAAGCTCCGCTTCCCGGGTTCACGCCATTCTCCTGCCTCAGCCTCCCGAGTAGCTGGGACTACAGGTGCCCGCCACCACGCCCGGCTAATTTTTTGTATTTTTAGTAGAGACGGGGTTTCACCTTGTTAGCCAGGATGGTCTCGATCTCCTGACCTCATGATCCACCCGCCTCGGCCTCCCAAAGTGCTGGGATTACAGGCGTGAGCCACCGTGCCCGGCCTATAACTTTCTTAATGGATCATTTGGAAGCTAAATACATTTCTTTTGGGAATATCATGTTCCCAGGTATACTCGACCCTTGAACATAATGTGTGCTTCTGAAACTCGCTATGGTAGTTCTAAACCTCAGTCACATTAAAATATACTCTGTGTGTGTGTGTGTGTGTGTGTGTGTGTGTGTGTGTGTGTGTGTTTGTGTTTGTGTGGTATGTAATCATGTATTCCTGTAGCATACTGATATGATTTAATTATGTGTCCTGAAAACTTCCATATCAAATGATATTCTAATATAACAGTCAGCTTGTTTTCATACCAAATAGCTTAAAAAAAAAAAAAAGGGCCTAGAGTGGCCGGGCACGGTAGCTCATGCCTGTAATTCCAACATTTTGGGAGGCTGAGGTGGGTGGATCATCTGAGGTCAGGAGTTTGAGACCAGCCTGGCCAACATGGCAAAACCCCGTCTCTACTAAAAATACAAAAACACTAACTGAGCATGGTGGCGTGCACCTGAAAATCCTGGCTACTTGGGAGGCTGAGGCGAGAGAATCACTTGAACCTGGGAGGTGGACTTTGTAGTGAGCTGAGATTGTGCCACTGCACTCCAGCCTGGGCAACAGAGTGAGACTCCGTCTCAGAAAAAAAAAAAAAAAAAAAAAAAAAAAAAAAAGAAAAAAAAGGCATAGTGCATGCCAATGGAAATATTTCTCAGAAACAATTATTTGGTCTAGCCTGTCAAAACTAGAAGAGACAACCCAAATGGCCAGCTGGCTAAACTAATTATGTGACTTGTACATCCAGTTTGAAGGCTGCTTGGTAAACCAGAAGTAGTCTCTAAGATAGAGAATTCATAGTTGTATTTGCTAATCTGATTTTATACTTAAAACTTATATTACAATCATGGTCCGCATAACAACAACAATGATCAATGTTGGACCACATATACAATGGTAGTCCTGTAAGAGTATAATACTGTATTGTATTGTACATTTTCTATATTTAGATGTACTTAGATACACAAATAGTTACCATTGCGTTACAATGGCCTACAGTATTCCTTCAGAACAGTAACATGATGTACAACTTTGTATCCTAGGAGCCACAGGCTATACCATATAGCCTAGGTGTATAGTAGGCTATACTATCTAGGTTTGTACAAGTACACTCTATAACATTTACACAAGGAAGAAATAACCTAATAAGGCATTTCTTCAGATGTATCTCCATAATTAAGTGATGTATGACTGTATATGTTGTATTTCACACTTTAAATATATCATATCTATATCTATACACTCTACACAGCAGACAGTTGTTTTCTGAGCTCTGGAATCTTTAAATGAATGCTCCTAGTTTTCTTTATGTTTAAGTCAAACACAGCAAGAATGGGTTTTCTCAGTTTCTTCGATT